>NC_000007.14:88870415-89173445 GCF_000001405.40 Homo sapiens | reverse complement strand
TAGGGTACACATAGGATCAGCTTTATTAAATATTTGATGTATAGATTTAACATAATTATTTTCATACTTATGTGATATTCTAAAATCTAAAATAATTTAACTTATTTAAATTACTCAAATATTAAAATTCAGGTAAATATAAAAAAACAGCTACCTC
Source organism: Homo sapiens (assembly GCF_000001405.40). NCBI lineage: Eukaryota > Metazoa > Chordata > Mammalia > Primates > Hominidae > Homo > Homo sapiens. The sequence continues at coordinate 89,173,288 of NC_000007.14, read as the reverse complement.
TATAACAATTAATAAATACAGAGAAGAGAGGAACTTATTGTGGAATGGTGTAGGCTGGATTATAAAATAATAAAAGCTCATAATGTTGAATCTAACTTTATAAGGAGAGCCAGACACATGTTTCACATAGTCAGGGATTAACTTTTTGAGTCAAAGAGGTATTACCATTAATTTTAGGTCCTTTGTTAAATAATGTGAAACAGAAAGGTTCAAAGGATTAATTCATACCCCAGGAGGGCCCATGCAGCAGCCTCAAATTGTAATCATTGCCTTGAATTATCGTCTCTCAAAGCCCTGGTTTTCTTTGGTACCACTAGACATACTATACTCCTTACCTTCTGTTGAATGCGTTTTCACCAAGCACTGTGATATAATTAGCTCTACTTATTAAAGTTTATTCCTTTTGAGGGAGGTGAGAATGAAATATACACTACTAGTGGATCAAAATGTTTACTTAAATTTTTATTCTAGTCAAAGACCAATTCCAAAGCTAAGATCATGTTTTATTACTTCAAAATGAGATGGAGAAAACGAAGATTCAAATGATTTAAATTTCAAATTATAAGTGAGATACAATTCCCTGAATTTTGCTTAACCATAATAAACTCTGGTTATTTATAAATACCTATATTTCAATTTTCAAGTTCTACAAGGGTATATTAAGAACATTAAATTTGTTACATTGCTATAAAACATGTCAGAAAGAAATTTTTAGTTTACTGTATTCAGGAAGGAGAAAAAGTGGCTGTACAGTTAGTAAAACACTTGACAAGGCAAAAGAAAATAATTTCATAGGCGAGAAGAATCAACAAGGAGTATGGTAAATGACCTCCTGTGTATAGATTAACTTGACCGACATAGCCACAATCACTCTCAACATTTTTGCTTAACTGAATTGCTTAACTAGGATATCTTGCTAAACATTTTGAAAGGTAGATTATACTAACTGCTGTCATTTTCTCACTTCCCATTTACTCTTTTACTACTGCAAACTGGTGCCCTCTTCCATCTTTTGCTTGAACTATTCTCTTGAATGTTGTCAAAAAGTCATATTTTACAAATCAAATGACATATTCTAAATCCTCATCCAGATATTCTAGAATGTTCTCTGTTTCTTCAATTGGTCTCTGAGTGTCATAGTTACTAGTTCACAACTTATTATGCTTCCTTCCTTTGTCTGATTTTATTATATAGTGCCATGAACTCAAAGTGCCCTTTCAGCTACAGGGTTTGATGAGACCATGACATCTTTTGCCAGTCACCCCTTACTTTAGGTCAATTATACAACAAGTCAATTTCTGTAAGTGTCAGGGACTATATTTCAAATAGATCCTTTTGTGATTTCAAAATCCTATTGTTTGGCATCTCAGAGTTCCCCCAAGTCTAAAATAACTCAATTATTAATTAGAGACAGCAATGTCTTTCAGGATTAAGATCTCAGACTTCAAAATAAGATGATCCAGGCTCGGATCACATTTGCCAACACTAGCTATTGGAATTTGAACAAATTAATCCCCCAAAGCCCTAGTCTCTTAATCTATAAAAATATGGAGCTGCCCACACATGGGGATCACACCTGTAATCCCAGCACTTTGGGAGGCCAAGGCAGGCGGATCACTTGAGGTCAGGAGTTCGAGACCAGCCTGGCCAACATGGTGAAACCCATTTTCTACTAAAACTACAAAAATTAGCCAGGTGTGGTGGCACAAGGTTGTAGTCCCAGCTACTCCGGAGGCTGAGGCAGAAGAAATGCTTGAACCCGGGAGGCAGAGATTGCAGTGAGCTAAGACAGCGCCACTGCACTCCAGCCTGGGTGACAGAGGAAGACTCTGTCGAAGAAGAAGAAGAAGGAGAAGGAGAAGGAGAAGGAGAAGAAGAAGAAGAAGAAGAAGAGGAAGAAGAGGAAGAAGAGGAAGAAGAGGAAGAGGAGGAAGAAGAAGAAGAAGAAGAAGAAGAAGAAGAAGAAGAAGAAGAAGAAGAAGAAGAAGAAGAAGAAGAAGCAGCAGCAGCATTATTTGTGCCTACTTCATTGAGTTACTACAAGGAACAAATAAGGTAATAGACATAAATGCCCTAATGAATACTTTGAACCCCAAATAATTTATTACTGCTGTTGTTGCATTTTTAAATAGAAATTCACACCATAACCACATGTTATAAATTGACCGGAAACCACAGTTCAGTTAAGGCTAGAGGCAGACCAGCCTTATTGGTCATTCATATAAACACTTTTTTTCCTGGTGCATTTTGTTCCATAGTGTTAATCCTACCAAGAATAAGCCCAGGATTTGATCATGCCAGATTTTTCTGGGTAAATAATGCAAGGCCAGGAGATGTTTGTTTTGGGGCTGAGAGGTGAAAGATGAGTAAAAAAATGGTTGGGTTTCTGAATGAGCAAAGTATTGTTGAAGCAGAGGAAACCCATCTGCGAAGTGTGAAGGCAGAACAGAGATAACTTGGGAAAGCCCATTGGCAGTGTGCTGCTGGTGGTGGCACCTGTAGGGGAGAAAGTGTTGAAGCAGAGCTGAGTGTTCTCTTTTGCTTCAAACAATATAATGGGGATTATGTGACTTTTTCTTTACAAACCTACCACCAAGGCAAGGACCTCAGGGAAAACCAAATAAACAAGCACATAAAAGGCAACAAGAAAACAAGAAAAAATTCAGCCTCAGTAAGAGATTGTGTTACAAAGCTTGATTCTACTGGAGACTCACAAATCCTTCTACTGAAGGGGGTAGACTGTCCAATACTTCTCCCTACAACTCCCTCAACTTCAATATTCCCAGCTCACTCCAGATATAAACTAAAAGAAAGAAACCTTTACTTTTTCACATTTCATAGGTTTATTAACAAAGATTTACCCATGCTCAGGGAGGTCTAGAAGCAGTTTGTCATTTGTGTTTACTATTGCAAAGAACAAGGCCGTAGTTTCTGCATCTACAAAGGCAATGGATTGACACTTTCATTGGTTAGGTAAATCAATTTGGGCCATGACATAAAACTTAAAGTATCACTGTGGCCTAAATGAGATAAAATATCCATTTTTCCCTATTTTGAAATGAATAGTAAAATTTTGGATTTCTGGTCATACCCAATTTCAACTTGAAATGTGTTTTCATACAAAATTTATCAAAGAAAATAAAGTGTTTAGTGACTTCATTTTAAAATCAGTAAATGCATGCCTTCTAAATAACTATTCCACAGATCTGCACAGTCTGGGGTCTAAGTGTCCAAACAGAATGTTGAAGTATATTTGAAGTGTATTAAAAGTTGGTTTCTTATTTTATCCAAGGCCTTCGAAATTTTTCAGTAAAATCTCTCTTAACTTATCACTAAATAACTGACTTGCAGGCTTACCAATAGCTTCTTATTTCTCTGTAAACCATAGTATCTAGAGCTCGGATGAGGTGACAGGTATACCATCCTTGGGCACTTGAGCACTTGACTTCCCACCATCCAAACCTGTATGCTTATAAGAATATATATTTCTTCCCCAACCTGTTTGTGGCAGTTATACTTGTTACTTCTAATTATATAAGTTAATTGAATATTTTTTTACTGATAAAATATTTTTGAAATGAAAGAGCTATTTCTATGAAAACTAGGTTCAGTGCTTTCGAAAGGCTCAGGAATAGATATTATCGAATTATGTATGAGAACAATGACCTTAGACTATTGAAGAAATAGTATAAATCTAGAAAGATTTTACATTCCTATTGAGAGACAGGACTAGCTGGATTTCCTAGGCCGACTAAGAATTCCTAAGCCTAGCTGGGGAAGGTGACCACACCTAACTTTAAACACAGGGCTTGTAACTCAGCTCACACCCGACCAATCAGGTAGTAAAGAGGGCTCACTAAAATACAAATTAGGCTAAAAGCAGGAGGTAAAGAAATAGTCAAATCATATATTGCCTGAGAGCACAGGTGGAGGGACAATGATTGGGATATAAATCTCAGGCATTCGAGCCGCGAGTGGCAACCCCCTTGGGTCCCCTATGGGAGCTCTGTTTTCACTCTATTAAATCTTGCAAGTGTACACTGTTCAGGTCCGTGTTTGTTCCAGCTCGAGCTGAGGTTTCGTTCACTGTCCACCACTGCTGTTCCCCACCATCACAGACCTGCCATTGACTTTCACTCCTCCGGATGGGGCAGGGTGTCCACTGTGCTCCCAATCCAGCTAAAGGTTCGCAATTGTTCCTGCAAGGCTAAGTGCCCGGGTTCGTCCTGATTGAGCTGAACACTAGTCACTGGGTTCCACGGTTCTCTTCTTTGACCCATGGCTTCTAATAGAGCTATAACACTCACCACATGGCCCAAGGTTCCATTCCTTGGAATCTGTGAGGCCAAGAACCCCAGGTCAGAGAACAAAAGGCTTCCTGCCATCTTGGGAGTGGCCCGCCCCCATCTTGGGAGCTCCAAGAACAAAGACTGGCCTGTAACAATATAGCTTCACAAGTATCAATTAAGTTCTCACTGTACTTTGAAGAACCCAAATTAGTAGTTATTGTTGATGAATAAGGATATGTTTTATGCAAGAAAAGACAATGTGCAACTCCACTTTGAGCATGAGCAGGCCCGTGCAAAAAAAAAAAAAAAAAAAAAAAGTATTCAGCTCTACTACAAGGGATTCAGGGATAGTCTTAAGTTAAAATGGTTAGCTCTGTGTGTATCATCTTACAATTTCTTTAAGCTTTAAGGGGTTACTTTTTACTAACCAACTGACCACAAGTCCTAATAGCATTAGCTAGAAAGGTTTTCATTGCCCATTAGGACTTTTGAGGCACACAGCAAGAAATATAAAGTTTGCTCTTAAACACCTAAAATAAATAAAAATTAAGTATCTTAGTACAACTACAGCTGAATCCTTTTACTTTTTCCCTCCTTCAGTTTAGCTCACAGATATGCTAAAATAATGCAGTGGAACAGTTTGTATATATATCTACATATATAGATATATATATATACACACACACAGTACACACACATATGCACAAACACACTAAAAAGACTTCATGTAGCTTTAAGTTATTTTAGTACCATTGATTTGTGTTTTCTTAACAGGAGTTACTACTGAAAAAGCTTATGATAATCAGTTTATAAATACTATAAAGGCTACAAAGAGAAATACAGAAGAAAAATGCCCGTTCTGAGAAAGAGTACTGGGATAGTTATTTTCTTTTCTCTGTGGATAAGGCTTTCTTTGCTAACAAGACAGTTAGTGTCCCTAATCATTTCATTGAATAGAAACAAGCTTAAATATATATTATTGGTACTTAAAGTCAACTACAATGTACTATTTCTGTTGAAATAGATATTGTATGATATTATTAAATCTTCATATCTATGCTTTAATGATTATTTTGCTTTACTGCTATTGCCACAGAAGGTCTTATTTTGTGGTTTCTTTAGTTTCCATTTAAGATATAATAAAAGATGAGGTTACTTATATAATAAGGAACTTTATGACAAGTTATATAACTTAACAATCACCATTTGGACCTCTCATTTTTCTGTTTGAGATTTTAGCTTAGTTTAATAATAGCTACCATAATTTGCAGTTTCACCTGAGCTGGAATACACAGAGTTCAAACTCTAAGACATTTTTACTGCAGTATTTTTCTTTTATTCTCCTTATAAAAATCATTAATTCTAGAAACTATTTTCCCAATTGTTCACAATCCTTTAAAAGCGTTATAGAAAGTACACCCTGCTTATATTCCAACTTCATTTTTCAAGAATTGGTTGCTTTGTTCAAAATACAGTTGACTCCTGAACAACACTAGTTTGAACTGCGAGAGTTCACTTATACAGGGATTATTTATTTATTTATTTATTTATTTATAAGACACTGTCTTGCTGTTTTCGGCCCGGAGTGGAATGCAATGGCACGATCGTGGCTCACTGCAACCTCCACCTCCCGGGTTCCAGCAATTCTCCTGCCTCAGCCTCCCAAGTAGCTGAGATTACAGACACCTGCCACCACGCCCGGCTAATTTTTTTTTTTTTAATTTTTAGCAGAGACAGAGTTTCACCATGTTGGCCAGGCTGGTCTCGAACTCTTGACCTCAGGTGATCCACCCATCTCAGCCTCCCATACATGAATTATTTTCTAGAAATATACTGGAAAGTTCTTTGGAAATTTGTGGCAATTCAAAAAAACTAGCAGACAAACCACATAGTCTAAGAATATATATAAAAAGGAAAAAGGTATGTCATAAATGCATTAAAAAATGCAAAAAATTAGTCTATTTTATCATTTAAAATATACACAAATCTATTATAAAAAGTTAAAATTTATGAAAACTCATTCACACAAATACCGACCCTACCTGGTACCATTCAGTCCAGAGAAATATAACCAAATGTAAAGATGCAGTATTAATTCATAACTGGATAAAACATAACTGTGGTACGTACATACTGCTGTAATAATTTCATAACCCTCTCCTACTACTATTGTGGTGAGCTCAAATATTACAAGAATCTGTTAATCATCTCCACTTGGGAAGTTCATCTCTCCAATAAATTGTGTATGGAAGTAAAAAGTGATCTTTCCACTTTTCACATACTTTTCGTCATGTTTAGTGCAATACCATAAACCTTAAATAACGCTATGGGACTTACATAAAGCACCAGTAGTGATGCTCAAAGTACTCTCAAAAATCAGAGAAAAGTCATGATATTACAAGAAAAAGTTGAATTGCTTGATATGTACCATGGATTAAAGTCTGCAGCTGTGGTTGCCTACTATTGCAGACAGACAATTCGTCTTGCAAACAGACAACACAAACTTAAGGTGTTGATAAATATACTAGAGTATTTCCTTATGATCTTCTTACTAACATTTTTCCTAGCTCACTTTATTGTATGAATACAGTATGTGATACACATAACATATAAAATATGTGTTAATATATTGTTATTGGTAAAACTTCCTGTCAACAGCAGGTTATTAGTAGTTACGTTTTAAAATTATACCTGGATTTTCGACTGTGCAGGGGTTTGGTGCCCCTAACTCCCACATTGCTCAAAGGTTAAATGTACAACTTGGTGATTAAGTTCTATATTTTCTTGAAGCACAGGAATTCACTTTATGTTGGAATCCCAATGCATAAAAATGAATATTCAATAAAATAATTGCACACTAAGCAGTCTAACTTGAAGGCATTGCATTTGTGGACGCCAGGGGACAGGACACCAATCTAGAAAGTCTTTTTCACAATTGTGGAAAATATGGTGACATTCTGAAATTATTTCTTTAACAGAAAATAGCCACCAGTAATATAAAACTTATATACAAATAAAATGTCATTTTCAAGGTATAAATTAAAATGTTTTGTAAAACTTTCCCAAAACACATTCTGATAACAAACACATGGTATGATATACAATAGGTCAACATTGAGATGCAGTGATTCTGTTTAGAAACTCTCTCATTTCTTTTCTGAAAGCATCTAACAGCATAATTGTATGTTTGGCTTGTTTTACTTCCTAGTTCCTAAGAAAAGTTGAACCAAGTTGAAGTTGCCTTTTAATTCTGGTTCCCGGAGTCTAAACTAGATACAGTACTTCATAATCACACTCTTTAAACCAAATCTTCCGTTTGAAGTGCAGGAGTTCTTTACAGACTGTGTATATAAAGACATTTAATTTTACGTACAGTGTGTTTATTAATTTTAGCATGACATGGGTTTGCACATATGTCTTCCCTTAAGTTACATGCTAAAACTCCTATCTTAAGGGATTCTGCCTTCCAAAAAATTATTCATATATACATTTTTTGACAAATGTGCCAAAAAAGCTTTCTCATTTGTTCTTGGTTTCTCCCATTCTGCTTTGCAATTTTCTTATGTTTTTCTTTTTTGTGAAATACAATTTTATCATTTTATTCATCAATTCAATTTAACCTGCTTGCATATATCACCTTCTGAAGTCATTCTTTGTGTATCCTCTATCTTTTGTATAAACCCCAGACATATCACCATCTGTATAGTTCATGTCTCATCAGCAGAACACTTGAAATTCAGAGATAGCTGAGTGGTAAATGTAATACCCCAATTATGCTTAAAATTTCAGACTGTAAGAATGGCAGAAAAGCACTACAAAAGTCAAATTGATTTCTTTTTTTAGCCATACAGTTGTAGCATGAAGCAGAATAATCAGTTTGGAACACCAGCTCTGAATATGATAGACCAAGATTTGAATCCCGAAAGTTCTACGCAACAGCCTTGTGATAATGGGTAAGTTATTATCTCTTAATGAATCACATTTTCTTCATATTTTAAAGTAACACAGAAATGTATACCTTGAAATGACATGTGCCTCATATGGCTGTTCTGAGGATTAAATAACACAACATATGTAAAATATATGGTATAGAGCAAGACAAATAAAAAACACCAAATACATTTGTGCTATTATTATCCTTAATCTCATTATTTAGCCTAGAGACAATGGTACTGATATCTAAAAGTTTACAGATATTATTTTAATGCTTCAGACAGCAACATAATGTTATGCTGTGTATCTAATACATCCAAATTATATGATTACAACATGAAAGAAGAAATTTTAGAAAGTTCTTAATCAAAATGGTAAAGATAAAGCTAAGTTTGGTATTGAGTAAACACATGGGAACATATTTTCAGTATTGTTTAAAGACATGGTGGACAGTGTTATCAGTAAGTAACATTATCATCAAGAATAATAAAAACCACGGATTTTGTACCTATTGTGTCCCTGTGCCAACCATCAAAATAAGAGCTTCATGTAAACTCCTGAGTTCTTCTCCCTGTGAGCTGACCATTCATTCTATGGCAACCGACACAGAATTGTCTAGCATTTTGATTGCTTTACAAAATACCAATCCACCTAAGTTTATTTACTGACTTTCCCCCCAGTTTTCCACGATAGTTTCTTTCAAAATAAAAAGAAACAAGGCACTTGTGAGAACATATGGGTCCTGATGTATAACTACAATTGGCTGAGTTTAGTGTTTCTCAAATTACTGTCCTGGACACATAGGACATCTTGTGACACTTCACAAGATGGTAATAGTCAAGAAAGGGGTATTTTTGATCAGGTTTTCTTAATATAGTAATTCTAGGAGTCACTTACATGCTAATAAGGTTATTCTATAGTAGAATATGTAGTGTTATCAAAGCTCATTTTATAACAAAATGAGTATTTTCGGTGGTACATTTTAAAACCCTTGAAGAATGCTTGAAGAAGCATTATTTGAGAGATAGTAATTTAGGTGTAGAAAAAAAAATCCTTTCAAACTAACAAAATGTAAAAATGGTCATTCCCTTGCGTAAAAATATCAGCTTATATTTGCCAACCTATCTAGTGGGAAGGAATGGAGGGAGGAGAGGAAGAAGAAAGAAACAAAGGAAGAAAAATGAAAAGGGGAAGGAAATAAGAAGAAAGGGAGAGAAGAGGAAAATAGATCTAATTCATTTAAAGGACGACACCTGCATTTAGAATTATTGTCTCTTTTCAACTGAAGATCTATGCAGAAAATGTTTATGAAGCAGGTATAGGTTCAACACACTGCTCTACTATCCACTTCAACTTTAGTCATTGAAAATTCATAAATTATTAAAAATACATTTTTTTTTGCTAAAAGTGACCAATGCTGTTTCCGTTATAACTGCTTTTGACTAGACTTATTACTGATAACCCAGAAGTGATAGAAATCAAACAGATAAGCAAAGGAAAAAAAGATAACACTAAATGAAATGGAAACATTAGAGTTAACTCTCCTATTTTTCATAAAACACATAATAAGCCATTGCATTTGGCTGATTCTTTAATAATTTATCTGTTCTGAAGGCAAAAAATTGATAAATTAAGCCCTTTACTTCTCACCCCCACCAAAAAATCAAAAGAAGAAAGGAATAACAGAAACAAGGTTTCACAATTCAAAAAGTGACATTCAACAAACAAAACTTGTAAGTTAAAAAATACTGAGCTTTAACTATAAAGCTTTTACATGAAGCTCTTATTTTGGTGGTTGGCATAGGGACACAATAGGTACAAAATCCGTGGTTTTTATTATTCTTGATGATAATGTTACTTACTGGTAACACTCTCCATCATGTCTTTAAACAATACTGAAAATATGTTCCCATGTGTTTACTCAATACCAAACTTGGCTTTATCTTTACCATTTTGATTAAGAACTTTCTAAAAAAATCTGTGGCTTTAACTATAAAAGTTCTGGATTAAGAAAATGTGGCACATATACACCATGGAATTCTATGCAGCCATAAAAAATGATGAGTTCATGTCCTTTGTAGGGACATGGATGAAATTGGAAATCATCATTCTCAGTAAACTATCGGAAGAACAAAAAACCGAACACCACATATTCTCACTCATAGTGAATATGAGAATTCATAGGTGGGAATTGAACAATGAGAACACATGGACACAGGAAGGGGAACATCACACTCTGGGGACTGTTGTGGGGTGGGGGGAGGGGGGAGGGATGGCATTGGGAGATATACCTAATGCTAGATGACGAGTTAGTGGGTGCAGCGCACCAGCATGGCACATGTATACATATGTAACTAACCTGCACATTGTGCACATGTACCCTAAAACTTAAAGTATAATAATAATAATAATAAAAGAATATTTAAAGCCCATAAATATAAAAAGATGCCCAACCTATTAAAAAAAAAAAGTTCAACCCAACAAATGCTTTTGCTGGTAGCTGTGGTTTCACTTTAGGAACAAAATTAAAGGTATTAGTAAATGAGAAGTATTAGGATTATTTTCCCAAACAATTGGGAATTTTATTTCAGATCTACCTTACATTGCATTGAATCAACAAATGAACTATATTTTTCTAGATTCTATTTTTGGGTCAAAAGCTATTTAGGAATTTGACTTTGGTTAGACAGATAAAATGCATTTGGAAAAACTACACAGTTAGATGGTATCTTCATAGTCATTTTCAATCCCAATATTTAAAGTTTTGTATTTGTTTATGAGATGAAATCATGATAAATCTTCAGAACTCATTGGGGAATTGAATGTTTTTAAAAAAAGTAAAAGAAAGTGGGCTAGGGAGATGTGTATCTATACTTGTTAAAAAATGGTGACCAGCTGTAGCAAATTATATTCCCATTCAATAAGACTTCCCCCCGCCCCTGAAAAGGGATGTTGTCCACATGCTACAGACTGAAATATACAGATACTAATCTTAAACTAGAGAGTGAAGAATATTATTAGCTTTTCAAAGATGACATATCATATGACAAATCCTAAATATGTTCCTCTTATTCATCACATTACTCATTCATTATCTGTGTAGATCATTATCAACATGCTGTTTATGACAAATCATATATAATAAATGTGGATAAAATTTACTATCTCATATTGCTACAGAAACTACCCCTAAAAATCACTATGATATTGCATTTTCTAGATCAGAAAAAGTATTACAAATAACAAACATATGAGTGAATGTTTTGATAATATTTATCCAAACTGGAATATATAATGTCAACTTTAACCAGATATTAGGATATTTTACCAATTCTCCATAAAAAGCAAGAAATTCTTTACAAAAACTTGCCTATTAAGGCCAGGTGTGGTGGTTCATGCCTTGTAATTCCAGCACTTTGGGAGGCTAAGGTGGGAGGATCGCTTGAGCCCAGGACTTTGAGACCAGTCTGGGTAACATAATGAAACCCCATCTCTGTAAAAGATACATATAAAATGAAGCCAACAGAACATTACCTGGGTGACATGATCTCAATAGTCTACAGTATATATTCCACTTTCACCACTTCCAAGTTAAATAGTAGTAAAATCAGGAATAGTTTATATTACATAAGCCATTATTTCATGTGGATTAGTTTATTCCAATGGGGAAGTGGTTTTTAATATAAAACTGTAGACTATTGAGATCATGTAACATAGGTAATGTTCTGTTGGCTTCATTTTCAAAGCTTAGCACCAAATCTAGTATATATAAGTTCAAGAAGAGTGTAAAGAGGACTTCCTCTAGATGCATCCTGCTGGGTTTTAGAGACTGCTTTACTTCAGAAATCATAATGTGCTACTAATCAGAGTAGGCTTGCCCAGTGTGCTTTCACAGGCTGCGGAGGTTTCTCTGCACAGTTGTAGGAGTCAGCTCTCAGTTCTCAGATAGAGATCTCTAGCCCTTCTTCTCTTGGTGAAGAGAATCCTAACCACAAGGCAATCTCTCCAGGAAAGGTGGTTGGAGTCCCACAAGGATATGGTGTCCTGGGAAAATGTTCAGCTCCAAGGGGCACAAGAGACTGGAAGGATCTGGAAATTGCAGTGTTTGGACACAGCACAAAATATCTGAATTCTAGTTTTAATTCTGCTACTTATCAGCTATGTGAATTTCAGCTTGTTAATTCCATTTCTTCAGTCTCTGTTTAGTCAACTAGTAAATGGGAATAATGACGCAGAATGTTGACAAAGACTAGATGATATGATGTTCTTAGCATGAAGAGGGGATTTAGTTCAGAAGCCAGATTAGTAGTTATAGAAATAATGACTATTTTAGGAGATATAATAATAAAGAAGATAATAACAACCACAAAAGTCCCAAATGGTTATTATTTTAAACCTATGATAAATGTCTTTGTTTTTCCTTATCAGTGTCTTACAGCTTTGGTCTGCTCATTCACATGAAATATGGTAGAGCTTTTTTGAAATATTAGGTGTACTCTATTTTATGATCCTGTGTTATTTAGTGATTACTAATCAGCTTAAATGTTAATTTCGTTTAGTGACATTGGTGCTAAAGAACTAAATTGATCTTTTCATGGCTGGAACAATGTATTTAGTTAAGGTTACTTAGACAACTTGGAAGTATACATAAGGTTTTGAAACCATCACAGAGCATCATTTTTAAGCATTCCCCAAGGTGTCATCACATACGGTTATTCATCGCCACATCCCTGAGCATGTCAAATTTTATTAGTGTGACATGATGGAATGTGACAGGAAAGACACTATTGAGCCTGATTTATTGCACACAGGCACAGATGTAGAGTGTAAACAAAAATATCATGTGAAGCATGGTCTCAAAGTACAGTTGCCAAAATGATAGGTTTTCTTGGCCAAATTAAAATAGAATAATTAATTATCAATTAATAACTTCCTCTGAAGTATGTTTAACAATGGAATATTCTAAATGATATGGCTTACCTTGGAATTACTATTGTTCAAGTCTATCAAGATTAAGAGAGAGTGATGAGTAGATATAAATGCTGCAACATCATTCCATCATACACAAATGTTCTTATATCATCGCTCAGCTAGACGTATCTCTACACCACATATTAGTGTGAGTGGACTCTTCTTTCCTTTGGGAGCTCAGAAAGTGTTCCAGTGGCCTTGTACAAAGGATAGGTGTCCAAAGACTTTCCCAAATATTTTATATCCCCTAAATTGGTCTTCATTCTTTAACCTTCCCTAGACGAAAGCAGGACTGTAGACCATAGATGCGGAGTTATTTTACCCTTGATGTTTTCCTCTTGAATGATAATTGAGTGAGAGCTGTGTATCTTATTTCAAATTGGTGAGCAAAATTCTGTGCCTATAGTTACAGATTTAATGTGTTAAATATTGGAAGAAAGAGTTCATTGATGAACTATTATCAGATGTTAACTCATGAAGTTAGTGAAAATGACTAAAGATTTGTTGTAATAGGAACCTCCATATGATACATGCCCACTCTGTTCCATGCTTTACCTTCACCATCTCCTTTAACTTAATTCTCCCTGCTCTCTTCTCTGTAGCATTTAATCTAATCACCATTTTACATGTGAAGTAACTGGGGCTCAGCCTGATTAGGTAATGTGTCCAAGATCATAGTACTAAAAAAAGTAAAGCCAAGCATGAATCCAGTTCTATTTCTAAAGCCCTTGCTCAATTCACTTTAACAGGGTCTCTTTAACACTACAGAGGTCTGTGAGCCAAAGGATCTCCAAATACCCTCGTCAAGTTTCAGTAGACACTAGCCCAACCTACCCCAGATTTAGGATGGAGAGTAGGGCAGAATGAGCTTGTAGATTTGAATGAAAAACTAAATAACTAATTAGTTCATCTTTTATTTTGCAACTACTCATTAAGATACTTTTTTGTACAAAGAATCATCCAGGAGATTGAGAATAGAGAGATGACTTAGTAAATTCACTCCTCTCAAGGTACTAGGGAGCCTGTAGGACCTCATCTTCAGAATAATAACTCAGAAATTTATAGTGGAATCTAGGCATGTGAAATTCAGTTGTTTAAAATTCCTCAAGTTATTCTGGGAATTACCAAGTTTGGGGACAATCTCTGTATTATATGATATGAAAAATATTTTCTCAAACTATTGATGAGGTTCACAATAGAGAGAGGTTCAATTTTTGGGGGGATCTTAATAAATGGAACATTTTAACTGTCTTAAAATGACTATCAATGTGATAGGTAAAGAAAGGTACAAGTCAAGTCACAAAAGGGAATTTTTAATAGAAAGAAAGTTTGTGCAAAGACCTGGAGGATGAAAAGTTGGGCTGGAAAGAGAAGTAAGAAGTGCAGGAGATGCCCTTAGGAAAATAGTTTGGGGTCATACACTAACTTACATACTTTAATGAGTATAAACTATAATTCATCGAGAAAAACTAGGTATTTAAGCAAGATGAAGAAGATTTGTATTCTATTCCATTAAGTTGGTGGCAGTTAAAATAAAAATAAATTAGGTAAGGGTGAAGCAGATACACCAGTTAGAAAACAAGAGCAATAATCAAGGTCAGAGAAGGTGGGAGCAGGAATTGACACAATGGTCCTGAGACCGGAAAAGAGAAAATGATCTGAGAAGTATTTCAGAGATGAAGCTAACGGGATATGGTCAGGGAATGGGTGTGGAGGGCTAAGGGAGGAAGAGGACTAAAGAGCACTCTGAGAATTTTAGCTGGGAAGATTATACGGAGGGCAGTGCCATTAATTTAAAGAGAATGCAGTCTGATGTTTGCATTAAGAAGATAAGAAAGTCAGTGACAAATCTTTTTCATTGAAGAACTTCAGAACATTTAGTAGATGTTTGAACCAGAATCTGGAGCTGAAGAGAGTTTGAGGCCAGAGCCAAGAAAGTGATTCAAACCAGAATCATGTTATGAGATTGTTGAGATGCATCCTTTTGTTAAGCCCCAATTTAAGGTTAGGGTTAAGTTGGTTTCATTGCCATGAAAAAAAACAGCGCTTATGAGGCTTCCTGAAATTAACATACATATTCCAAAACATTAGAAGAATAGGCTATTACTTTACAATAATTGTATTTTATGCTGTGAGTCATTAAACCAAGTATATTTGAGCAAGAAATTATTTGCTCAACTTACGGTATTAACTTTCAGTACATTTTCCACTTTAGTTTCAATTACTTATTTTCAGACTTTTTTGAAAGCAATTTTTCAAATCAAAACTGCTTTCCTGGCAGAGAATTCTAGTACAGGTCACAGTCACACACCTGACCTGTCTTTTACCTTCTCTAAATAAGTGTGCACAAACCAAAAAAAAGATGGAAAAACATTTGAACTAGACACTAGAAAAGATTTGGATGTGTACTTACAGATCTTTCTCTGTAATAACTCTATAATAAAATTCACTTTTGGACTGGCTTTTCAAAACTCAGAGAAAGATGACTGCTCAAGATAATTAGTCCACTGTGTTTAATGAATCCCTTTAAAATTGCAGTCACTGGACTGGAAACCTGATCACTTTTATAAAATCAAAGAATATGTTCATCAAAAGACTTTATCATTTTGATGAAAAAAAATAATGTGCCATTATATTGGTAGATGACAATATGTTCACCAAAGATGTGTCCTAGTACATGTTTTACAACTTATAAAAAGAAAAATGATAGCTACAACAATCAAAAGCTTTCTCTCTAATTGTGGATGAAAAATGATAGTTGAGAAAGATGAATCACTAATTAGCTTAGGAGACCTTGACATTTTCTTTTGTTAAATAGGATGTGTTAATTAATTTATATTTCAGATAACATGATTTTGGTTTAAAGTGACTTTACAGAATAAGAGAAATATTGAACCTAACTATGTCCAACCTAAATGTATCCCATATTCACAGGAAGCTACCCTAGGCATTTGTTTTAAGCAAATCTTATTTTACTGCTGACTTAAATATAAACAGTATCACCAATAGAGAGCCTGTACCAAAAAAGATTTTCTTACTATTTCTCCTGCATCTGTGGCAGTCTCGAGTAAATGAGGGTGATTTCAAGTGGCAGGTGTGTTGGAAAGGAAGAGATAAGCGAAAAGGGTAGACCCCACAACTCCTTCTCCCTCCTCCTTCCTCCCTCACTGGTTATCAAGTTCCGAATCTTTCTTAATGCAGCAATTAAATATTCAGTAATTGCCATCTTTGAAAAAGAAATGTAAGAAACACCTTGATAGGTGTTGTTCTTTGTATATCTAGGCGCCAGCATTCACAATTCTGTCATTATCTTCCAAACATACAGACACTTCAAAATAAAATATATTTTTAAATTTTTGCATTAGAGAAATGGTGCAAAAGCAACCATTTAATTAGAGAAACCAATAAAAATAACAAAAATTGCTCCAGAGATAGTCAGTTTCTGTAAATATATAGATAGAAAAAAAAAAGTTCATGCTTTTCTGAGCACCTGCTATGTTCCTGGCATTTTCACATACTTATCTCATTTTACACTCCCAGCAATTTTCAGAGTTCTATATTATTTCCATGTTGTAGTTGTAAAGTGAATTATTAGGACTGCAGTATTGATGTACACAAACGTTACAATGGAAGTAACACTGAAATAAAGCTGAGTAAATTCCTTCTGAGAAAGAGGTGGTCGGCCAGGTGCAGTGGCTCAGGCCTGTAATCCCAGCACTTTGGGAGCCCAAGGCAGGTGGATCACCAGAGGTCGGGAGTTTGAGATCAGCCAGACCAACATGGAGAAACCCCGTCTCTACTAAAAATACAAAAAATTTGCCAGGTGTGATGGCTCATGGCTGTAATCCCAGCTACTCGGGAGGCTGAGGCAGGAGAATTGCTTGAACCTGGGAGGTGGAGGTTGTGGGGAGCCAAGATTGTGCCACTGCACTCCAGCCTGGGCAACAAGAGTGAAACTCCATGAAAGAAGGAAAGAAGGAAAGAGAGAAAGAGAGAAAGAAAGAAAGGAAAGAGAGAAAGAGAGAAAGAAAGAAAGAAAGAAAGAAAGAAAGAAAGAAAGAAAGAAAGAAAGAAAGGAAAGAGAGAAAGAAAGAAAGAAAGAAGGAAAGGAAGGAAGGAAAGAGAGAGAGACAGAGGAGGGAAGGTAGGAAGGGAGAGAAAGGGAAAGCAAGGGAAAGAAAGAGAAAGAAAGAAAGAAGAAAGAGAGAGAAGGAAGGAGGAAGAAAGGGGTGGTCAAGGAATTTTTTAGAAAAGACAATATTTAAACAAAGTGCTGGGAAGAAAAAAAGCAAATGTTCCTATTGAGAGGAAGGCATTCTAGAGAAAGATAATAGAATGGGCAATGATATAAAGACACAACAACTCAACAGAGTTTGTTATCTTCCGAAAACTGGTAAGAATTCAGGGTGCTTGAAGTTCAAACTGCAAGGCGGGACAGAGTGAAAGGAAGGCACAGAGCCAGATAATGAAGGGCCCCCATTTGCCATGATACATACCTGATTCAGGAGAAAATGGACCAAAACAATGAAAGAGAACAAAATTATTAGTTTTGTGTTTTAGAAGCCTTACTGACAGCAGAGTACAGGACAGATCTGAGGATATAAGGTTTGAAGCTGAGAGACCAGGTAGGAGTCCATTGCAATTATCCAGGTGAGAGAGATGGTAAGATGTTGAGCGAAGAGAACAGCATGGGTTTTTAGGTGAAAGATGAGATATTATGGATGAGAAATCATATCATTTATAAAATTAGAGGCTGTTCGAAAGTGGAACATTCAGCAAAGGGAAAAATCTGAGCTAACTCCTTTTTTCTTGTTGGATGATAAAATGGCTCTGTTGGATTTATCCAGTGTGAAGTAACATGCAGCAGCCAGCCAGTGATATCAAACCAAAAACTGAGTAGATATTAACAGTTATAAACCCCAAGAGAGAAATCTGAAACAATTTATCAACAAATAGGTAGTTTTTGAAAGCATCAGGGTGGAGCCGGTGACTCTAGAAGAAACATACAATAAGATATATGGATTTTTTAAATAGAATATTTTTTAATTTTTAATTTTTTGTGTACATAGTTGGTACATACATTGATGGAGCATATCACATTTTTCATATAGGCATGTAATATGTAATAATCGCATCATGGGAAATGGGTATCCATCCTCTCAAGCATTTATCCTTTGTGTTACAAAAAATCCTGTAACACAATTACAGGATTTTTTAAATGTATATTTATACTATTGTAGTTATTTTTAAATGTATATTGATTATTGACTATATTTACTCTGATGTGCTATCAAATAGTAGGTCTTATTCATTCTCTCTTACTATTTGTTTGGTACACATTAACCA
Organism: Homo sapiens; assembly: GCF_000001405.40. Classification (NCBI taxonomy): domain Eukaryota; kingdom Metazoa; phylum Chordata; class Mammalia; order Primates; family Hominidae; genus Homo; species Homo sapiens. Next base: position 89,154,749 of record NC_000007.14, on the reverse strand, counting down.
TCCCGACTTTTCCCTCCCAGCCCCCCATTACTCTCCCTAGCCTCTGGTAACCATCCTTTTACTCATTATGTCCATGAGGTCAATTGCTTTGATTTTTAGATCCTACAAATAAGTGAGAACATGTGATGTTTGTCTTTCTGTGGGTAGCTTATTTCACTTAACATAATGATCTCCAGTTCCATCCATGTTGTTGCAAATGACAGGATCTCATTGTTTTTTATGGCTGAATAGTACTCCATTGTGTGTAAGTACCACATTTTCTTTATCCATTCATCTGTTTATGGAGACAGGTTGCTTCCAAATGTTGGCTATTGTAAACAGTGCTGCAACCAACATGGAAATACAGATATCTCTCTGATATACTGATACCCAGCAGAGGGATTGCTGGATCATATGGTAGCTCTAATTTTGGTTTTTTGAGGAAACTCCAAACTGTCCTCTATAGTGGATGTACTAATTGACATTCTCACCAGTGGTGTATAAGTGTTCCCTTTTCTATACATCTTTACTAGCATTTGTTATTGCCTGTGTTTTGGATATAAGCCATTTTAACTGGTGAGATGATATCTCACTGTAGTTTTAACTTGCATTTTTATTATAATCAATGATGTTGAGCACATTTTCATATGCCTGTTTGCCATTTGTATGTCTTCTTTTGAGAAATATCCATTTAAAACTTCTGCCCATTTTTTGATTGGATTATTAGATTTTTTCCTATGGATTTGTTTGTGTTCCTTACATATTCTGAACAGAATAATTTTTAAAAGGTGATGGGGAAGGCTACAGCATATAAGCAAAGAAGCATCTGAGTGAATGGTCAAAACGGAAAGAAATGAGAGAAGTTGTCTCAGCATCTATGAAGAACCTTTCACAGATAACAGAATAGGCTACTGTCTCAAGTGCCTAGAGAAATGAAATAATTTCAGTCAAAAGCTGAAAGGTGTATATACTTAATTCTTGCATTGATATAACTGAAGACCTTCAATAGAACAGTCTCAGAGGAGAGATACAAGTAGAAGCAAGCAAAGAACTAGAAAGTAAAATCTGATGTGAGAAAGTGATTCTACTTTTCCACAGAACTGGTCCTAGGTCTGATTCCAGTTTTCATCGTGACCACTTGTCTTATGATACCTAGAAATGTTAAATTTTTCTTTGCTATTATTGCTAGTAGTGAAAAACCTTATTATATCTCTAGAGACTAATAACCAGGCTTCGGAAATTCATTTTTGCTCTTGGGTAAGGTACAAAAGTAAACGTCTATTCAGAAAAAGAAAATAGAGCAAAAATTATTATTATTATTATTATTATTATTATTATTATCATCATCATCATCATTAGTAGTAGTGTTAAAGTACCAGCATCAGAAAAAGAAGCAGATTCACCGGTCCCTGACTGCCACAAGAAAGGAGCAGGGAGACGGGAAGATCTGAGAGCCAACTCAGAATCAACATCTTGCTATGGTAATTGATAGCTTCTTCTTCTTTCCTTTGGGTGACCTCTGTTGGTTTCAAATCTGGAACTCAAGTCATTTTTCCTCATGATTCTTTTTTTACCCCTCCTCATTGCCTCATTCTGCTAGAACTATGAGCGAGGTCATCTGGTCAGTTTTCCTCAGGTTTCAAACAAGCAAATAATAAATGAACTCTTAGTTCACACATTATTTTCATGCTGATGGTGAAAAATAAAATATAGTATTTGCTTTTGAGTCTTAGTTTATAATAATATTATTTTATAATCTTTATTTACAAAGATTTATGACATTTAAGTTTAGTTAATATTTTCTTTCATACACCTGTGGATGACAGCCCAAATGTTTAAAGACAAAGGTGGCAGGGGCAAAGGCCAATCAGAACAGATGGTCATGGATCTCAAGCAGACCCTAGCCTTCAGACCCTAAGGGTGCTTGTCGTTGGAACATCAGCCCAGCATATGCGCAGGTTATGCACAAAGATGTCAATTTGCAGTGATAATAATTTAGACTTAATTGTAGAAAAAGAAAATATTGAGGCACATTGCCTCAACATTGATGTTAAAGGCAAGAAAACAGGTAACTATATATTTTATTTTAAAAAGAATTACAGCTTTCTTTGCTGATAAAACCATGTATGATTATGACATAAATTTATGAACTAGAAATGACTAAATAAAATTTTGAATCACCTAAAACTGAAACATAAAGATCATAATAATGTACAAACATTATTTAGACACCTCTTTCTGCATATGTTCAGATAGAATGCATAATGAATTGAAAAATGGGACACATTCATACACATTTTTTAATAAAAATGTTTTAATTTTAATTGAATTTAATAGAAAAAAACTGAAGCTGAAAAATTTTCTAAACTTCTGACAACTGTTTCCTTAAAAAGACCTATTAGTTCCTAAAATATCTCTCCACAGTAAGAAGAAAATTTTTGCAAAGCAAATAGGTAGTTTCAGGGAAACTAAATCATACCTCTTCCCCATAAATGTATACAAATACAAAAAAAAAAAGAAAAAACCATGCAGTAGTCTGAAACATTACTTGACTATTTGCTATGAAATATTTTTAAAACTTAGCTCTCTTATCTCACTTAAAATAGATGGAAAAATTCTAAGCAAAAGATGGTAAGCCAAATCCATATAAATAATACTGCATAATATCCCAGTTGGGTTAATCACAGGAACACCAGGGTAGTTTAACACTGATAGTTCTGCTAGTTCTATTCATATGTTAACACATACAAAATAGAGACAGAGAAAAAACAAGAACAAAAGATTATAAAAATTGATGCCAAAAAAGCCCAACATTCAATAATATTCCACACCCATACAAGACTAAAACAGGGAAACCAATAAACAAACCCACTTAGGTATCTTATCATGTGACCCTCAGACAGTAGTTCCTGCCTAGGAGGTAGATCATAGCCTATGAGTGTGAATTTTCATGTATCCCCTCTTCCCCCAACATCATACCATTGCCATGTTAAAGAGCCTAACAAAAGGTTCTTTAAATTTGGCTTATGGGGCTGTGCCACTCACTTTCAGGAAAATTATTTTTTTTTTTCAGGAGATCTGAAGAAGTTTACTTAGATGCTTATTCTCAGCCACATTTTATTTTATATTCCTGAATATGTAGCAGTTTTACATTTCACAGTAAATTCATTTATCATTCTGTAGCCAGAAACACATAATGAATGATGAAATTTAATGGCAATAATCATGGACAACATCCATGGTCTCTCTTCTCAGTGAAACAAATTATTTTCTGTGAGTTCAATTCTACGTTGATGATTAAGTCATGAAGTGATTACAGGTGTTTTCAATGTTTACCAGTGTTATTTCTAGATTGTACAATATGTCTCAAAATCATATGGGGATGGGAGGATGATGACGTTAATGCTAGATCAGATTATTGTTGAGTGAATAAATATAAATGGCATCAAAAAGTTTCTAATAAAATAAAAGCAATACAATTCCTGTTCAGACTTTACTAATAATGATAAATGTTCAATGGCCATTATATACCACATTTTGTTTCCTTAAATTGCTAGAAGAGGAGTCAATTGTAGTATTCCAAATTTCAGATTTAGTGATGGTTGGATATATTTAATTGATTATGCTGCCTTTAAATTTATATTTTATAATCTAACCGTTTGATTTCCAGATCTCTTACATCTAAACTTTCTTTCCTTTCTAAAGCACCTACTACATCATATGCAATAGGAGCTGTACTATTAATAGTTCTGATGTACAAAGTCAATCTTATTTTTAATAATATTTCCTTTGCTCTTCAGACTAATTACACCTTAAGCACAAGAGTTCAGTTATTTAAGTGCTTAAACTGTGCACTAATTACTGAAGTAGAAACTCGTCAAATGATAACTAAAGGCCTCACAATATCTGTATACCATCCAAAGAGCCTACCATGCTCTCTGGGAAGGACTGGCCTCTTAGAAAGCCTCAGCCAAGCTCTCTGTCTTTCCTTCCCCTCCAGCGTCTCTCACTCTTCATTTGGACTTTTTTCAACATTTCTCATTTTGTCCACTGATAGGTAAGCATTTCATTTTTCAACTGCATCTCTTCTACTTAGCAATGACCCAAAATGGAAATATAATTTTTAAATGAAAAGCATATTAGATGGACATATATCCTCTCTATAAATCTTAAATCTTTTATATACACTTAAAACTTTCACACTTTCCAGATGAAATGGAATGCAGACAGGGTTAAATGATCTACCTAAGGGCAGAAATTTAATTAATGCAAAAATGCGTCTGGAGGCCAGGATGACAAATTCCCAGGCCCATGCTTTTTCTAACAAGACAATGCTTTTCTCTCTAAGTGCACTCACTAGAATCTGAAAGAGAAATAATGCGTGTGCATATACATTTGTAGCTTCCTGGGCCTCAACATAGCATCAGGTTTTCTAGTGGGGCAACAATACATATTACAGTAGCTTCCCCTTATCCTAGGGGCATATATTCCAAGACTCCTAGTGAATACCTAAAATCTCGGATGGTACCGAACTCTGTATCTCCTAGGCTTTTTCAATCTAGTAACCTAGATGGCTCCTGACTCCTGGGCAAATAGTAAATACAGCTGAATAGGCCAGGTAACAGAATGATTCATGACTGAAAGGGATGGAGTGGGACAATGCAGGATTTCATCACACTCCTGAAAATGGCGTGGAATTTAAAACATGAATTGTTTATTTCTGATATTTTCTGCTTAATATTTTTGGATCAAGGTTGACTGCAAGTAACTGAAACCATGGATAGTGGGGGTAGACTACTGCATTCAAAATTAACAATTATCATGGCACAGATATGGACCAATGAGAGTGGAATCAAGTCTAGTCCTAAAGGAGACCAGTAGTTGAGTCCAACTGTCAACAGTGAATATGTGAAATAAGTACCTACTGGGCAAATATCAGTAATGACTTCATGTAATTTTAGGAATCCCTGCAAAAGCCTCTTGCTCCTGCCAATCTGGTATGCCAAAATGGGGATCACCATTTGCTTCATTGGGTCAGGAATGTGGGAAATTTTGGAAGGGTGAAATCTCAGAGATTAAGTACTTACAATGAAAATAGAATTAAGAATTCTTTTTCACTATATGTTAAGTAATGAAACTCTTATCTCAAGTTTTAGATAATGACTATTCTAACATTAAGATTTGAAAAGTGACTTGGTATTTTTGCAATAGAATAGTTGATGAAATAAAACTGCCTGTGCATATTAATTCACTATGTATCAATTAATTACTTTCAAAGAAGTAAAATAATAACTTTATTTGTAATGTTAATTTATAACCAATTTTATATACACTATAAGGCTGGCAAACATAGGGTAACTATAATTAACTTAAGGGAATGACAGATTTGTGAGTTTCTTTATATAAGGTTTAAAAAACTGAAATTCTTGACCAAGGCTTTGTACCTTTATTTGGACTGGATCCTACTTGCAAAGACAAGACAAGTAAGTTCATGAGTGGCATCTCAAATTCTGTTCTTTTGTGCTTGTTTTCCTAGGAAGCCCCTGAGAAATTGATTTAAAATACTGAAAGGGAATTCAGTGAATAGACACTACAAATTTACAATGGACAAATAAGATGTGACCCATCCCAGAGAACAAAATGAAAGGTTCATGCCATGGGGTCAGTGGAGACTATTTCAGTTTCAGCTTGGTGGTAACCTTCTGATGCCTTCTTCTATTGAGTGACAAGATAAGGAGCCAAAAGCAAAAAATCAGCCTAAGTCTGCAGGGCAGCAACTCAGGGAGTTTCCCAATAACTCTGAAAGAGCCTCATAATTCTCATAGGCAGCTGTGGACCTGATTGTTTATGGCTAGCTTCTTTCAGCCAATAATAGAAAGAAAAGAAATAAAAATTGAGACTTTTTTTAGAACAAGGATATTCATCAAAGAATGGAATAGATTGAATGAATTCACATAAGGGACTATTCAGCAGATGTAGTCAATACAACATAATTTATTAGATTTTCTAGGTATTGTCTCTCTGACATGATGGTTTGTGGACTGGGATTTTTAAAAATTCTGTTCACAAACCTCTTAAGTGACTACATTTCAATAGCAGAAGTTTTCCTGGGTAAATCTGGGATTTTTATATCTTTAGAGATAATATTGATTTAATTTTCAAATTAGCTTTATTTTGTTCAACTACTTGTATTAATATTTTTAAATACATAACATTATTTTAGAATAACTTCAAATAGTATAAGTGACATTTTTCTGTGTTTCAAGCAGAGATAGTTAAATGTAAAATGCAAATAGAATGACATGGAATTTTCCAAGAGAATGAATGCCTTGCCTATTTCTCTTTCCTTTCCTGCTCAAATACTCTTATTTGCTATCTGTATGCTACAAGTATCTGGAAGCCACAGTTATACCATACACACTGCAAACACTTTCACTAGTAACTAATATGATTAAATAATAATCACTAATAATAGCTAATAATTTTGGAAGAGTACTATGTGTGAGGTGGTCTACTAAGTATTTTATAAGAAGTAACCATATATAACAATCCTAAGATATAGATATTATATACCTTGTGCAGATGAGAACATTTAAATTTAGAAAGTTTAATAGATTTGTCTCAGATTACAGGTATAAAAAATAGCAGAGCTGGCATATTCATCTATATCAAAATGACTCCTAAGCACAGCCTATGTAGGTGGTCCCTAACCTTTTTGGCACCAGGGATTGGTTTCATGAAAGACAATTTTTCCACAGACAGGGCAAGGGATGCTTTCGGGATGAATCAAATGCATTATATTTATGGTGCACTTTATTTCTATTATATATTTCATTGTAATATATAATGAAATAATTATACAACTCAGCATATTGTAGAATTGGTGGGAGCCCTGAGCGTGTTTTCCTGCAACTAGATGGTCCCATCTGGGGGTGATGGGAGACAGTGACAGATCATCAGACATTAGATTCTCATAAGGAACGCACAACCTAGCTTCCTCGCATGCACAGTTCACAATAGGGTTCGTTCTCCTATGAGAATCTAATTCTGCTGCTGATCTGACAGGTGGCAGAGCTCAGGTGGTAATGTGAGCCATGCAGAGTAGCTGTAAATAAAGATGAAGATTTCTCGCTCATGGCTCACCTCCTGCTGTATGGCCTGGTTCCTAACAGGCAACAGACTGGTAGCAGCCCAGGGCATGGGGACCACTGCTCTATACTCTACATTTTTTCTTGTTCTGTGTATGTGAAATAATGTAATAATTGCTAGTTTCTACATTCAATAATTTAAAACAATGATTTAATTCAACATGAAAACAATTTTGACACCTTGATCTGTAATATTAGATCACTTTTTATATTATGTTAATACTTGCTAATAGGAAAGCAAACACAATTTTAAGATGAGAAAAGAAATCTTTACCATCCTTTTAATTGCCAACAAAGCCAATAGGGATCTGGTCATTGCTCTCCAATACCTGGGTTAAAGATTCAGGTGATAATTGTTCAACATTTTGAAACATACTCACAGCGTAGCTGTAATATGACAGATGTTTTTAAGGACTGCTCACAGAATCACTTTGTGGTCCTGTACTTTTTAAACATTAAATGTATATTAATGTTTATTATTACACTAAATGTATATTAATGTTAATATTTTAAACATTAAATATATATATATATATATACCTGATTATCCTATTTTTTGATACAAGGTCTCACTCTGGGGTTTTTTTGTTTGTTTTTTGAGACAGGGTCTCACTGCAACAGACTATGGTGCAGTGGCGCAATCTTGGCTCATGCAACCCGCACTTCCCAGGCTTAAGTGATCATTCCCATTTTGACCTCCCAAGTAGTTGGGATTAACAGGTGCAAACAACCATGCCCAGCTAATTTCTGTTATTTTTTGTAGAGACAGGGTTTTGCCATATTGCCCATGCTGGTCTTGAACTTCTGAGCTCAAGCAATCTACCCCGTCTCAGCCTCCCGAAGTACTCAGATTACAGGCATGAACCAACACACCTGGCCAATTATCTTATTAATTTTTAATATCTTAATTTAATTTACATAAAGTTCTTTTTATCCTAATTCGACTGAGCCACAGAATACAGTTCTATCTCATTTACAGTTATTCTGAATATTTTGATTTCCTTAGTTTTAGGAAAGCTGAAAGAACTTCTGAAATATTTCAAGGTTGATCATTTTGAGAGTTTTCTATTTATCTGAAAGATTTTAGGAAGAAAAATTGACTATTAATATTTGAATGACTTTATTTTATTTCCATAAGTCTACAAGACCTCTAACAGGGAAGCTACTTCCAGCTTGTCAATTATATCCATTGTTGATTTCCAATTTATTTCATTTAGATGGCTCATAATTTCAATGCATTCACTCTTACAAATTCCTGATTGTCAATTTCTATAGCTATGTTCATTATCCCCACATTTAGATTAATGTCACATCCTAATAGGCTTATAAGTAATTCTGTAGTTTTATGGGTACATTACTACATCCTACAAAATGGGCTTAAGCTATAAGATCTTTTTTCTCTCATTACTTATAAATGTTCATTGATTTTCTTCATCTTTTGAATATATTTAAACCTACAAAAAAGTGGATCTCATCAATCTCTGACCATGTACTGATGTTTGCAGATGTTTCATAGTAATAATGTTTCCAGGGGATAATGGCTTAATGCTTCCCTGTTGGAGGATAATGAGTTTCAACATCATTTGGAAGCTCAATGATCTCTTTATTTGGAGACTGATTCAAAGCATGCTGAAGATCTCAGTTCATTTTGGTATCATGCCAGAAAGTTTTTGAGATTAGCTAATGCAGCACAGAATTGAGAAAATAAATAGAAAATCTCTTGTGTCTTTAAAGGTTAAGAAATAGCTTTTTTTTAAATTCCTTATCCTAAGCTTTATATAACTAACCAAAAATGAAAAAAGAGGATTTATCCTCTGGATTAGTGCACTGATCCAGAATCAATTATAATGAAATGTCTCTGAACTATTTAGGGAGGGAAAAGCATCATACCTGCTCACTAACATGGAGCATAAGGTCTGGTCCAGAGTGGGAAATAAGTATATGTTTGTGGAATTAGTCAATGAATGTATTAAATTGATTATAAGTTGTTACTTCATTTAAGGTTACAATTAGTTTAGGTAGTACAAGCCATTTCTTAAATAAAAATATGATGGCTGTAAAGAATTGAATAATACCTGAATTAGAAAACCAAAGAATTGTTTGAGTCTGCTCTTGCCTAGCACAGTACTGGACACATAGTAGATATTAAGTAAATTTTAAATGTATGAATGCATTAGGTCATTAAAGCAATCAAAACCTCATGTTTAAAATATCTCTATTTTAAGATAGTGCCTTCATTTGTGGAAAAGCCCCTTACTGTTTATATTATTGTCTTATCAAGAAATAGCTATGGTTCTACTCCTGAATCTTTAAATGTGCCCATCTGTTATCTATGAATAATGGCTCCTTCTCTGCTTTTCAGTTGTCAGTTAATTGGCAATATTTTTTAAACTATTAAATATATAATTAAGTGTAATTTGATTTATTAAAATTATATTGTCATTTTAGATGTCAGTCTTATTTGTTGTAGTTTATATCATTTATTTTCGTTTTTTTGAATTAAATTAAATTTTATTTGAGACAGAGTCTCACTCTGTCACCCAGGCTGGAGTGCAATGACAAAAACATGGCTCACTGCAACCTCCACTTCCCAAGCTTAAGCAATCCTCCCATCTCAACCTCTCAAGTAGCTGGGACTACAGGAATGCACCATCACACCCAGCTAATTTTTATATTTTCTATAGAGATGGAGTTTCTCCATTTGGCCCAAGGTGGACTATAACTCCTGAGCTCCAACTCCTGGCCTCCTAACATGCTTGGGATTATAGGCACCCAGCCTAAATTTTATTTTTAATTGGCAAATAATAATTGTATATATTCATAGGATACAATGTGACATTTTGATATATGTTTATAATGTTGGATGATTAAATCAAGCTAATTAACAAATTCATTAACTCATATACTTAATTTTTAGTGAAAACATTTAAAATCTATTATGTTAGCAATTTTGAAATCTACCTTATTATTTCTTCTAGTCACCATGTTGCATAATAGATCACTAAATCTTATTTCTCCTGTCTAACTGAAACCTTATACCTTTTGATCAACATCTCCCTTTTCCTTGTCCATCACCCTTCCCCGCCTCTGATAACCATTTTCTAGTCTGCATTCCTATTAGTTCCACTTTTTCTAATTCTCTATATAGCTAAGATCATTCAATATTTTTCTTTCTATGCCTGGCTAATAGTCTTCTTAAAATATGTTACTTACAGTTGTAATTTCTTTTTTGAAAGAGCAGAATAAGATCAAATTCCATGCTAGATAACACTGACTTTCACCTACTCATTACTTTAAAATAAAATAATGCATATTAATCCAGATCTTAAAGCTTACGACTATTTGTATGACTTTTTTCTCAAAATAGAAATGACATATATATGTTATAGGATCCATTGAAAATAAAGAAAAATATAAAGAGGGGATTAAGTTTATGTGATCTATCTGAATCAAATTGAAATTGTTTTGTTTCTTTAAATGAATTCAAATGTATATTCTCTGCTTTTGGAGAATTGTGGAGGTTTCATAAATACTGTATTATAAGAATTTACACAAATAAATATCTACTTTTTTTCATTCAGTAGGAGTAATTATGACTAGACACTTTTTAGAAAAGGAGACGGGTGTAATAAGATGTAGCTAATATTATTGGAGAGAATATAGCTACTTGGTTTGACTTTTATACCAGCATTAATTTAAGGCTATTGCCACCAGCCCATGTTAGAATAATGGGAAGAGAATGTGATACAAGGGGTTTTCAAAAAGTTCATGAAAAATGCATATTATGAAAAAACTATGCATACATTTTAAACATTTTTGTACCTAAATAAACTCATACTTACTTGTTATAGCATTTCTGAACAGAATCTAGTTTGAGACACTAAAAAGAATAAGACATCAATTTGAAGAGAGTTCCTATCAGAACAAATTGAATTCTGCTAAAACTAAAGCAAGAACAAACATCAAATTTATGGTGAAGATTAGTGGAAGAATGTGAAATCATTTATGTCTTAAAAAAGTTTTTGGGGAAAATGCTCTAAAGAAATAAGCACTTTACAAATAGATAATTCATTTTAAAAAGGATAAGTTGATGTTGAAGATGAATCCCAAAGTGGCAGATCATCCACATCTATGTCTTTAAAAATATAATTTTGTTAGTGTTAGGTAGTTAGATAGATATTAGAAGCTGGGAGCGGGTAAGAAAAGAGAACAAAAAGGTTATCACTAAGACAGCCCATAGCTCATCTAAATTCAGCCCCAGAACTTCCCTAACTCCATCCATCCTAAAGGATGGAGTTTGTAATAAAATCTGTGTCCAACATGTCCTGGAGAAGGAGAAACTAGGGCACAGGTGGAAATCCCCTAACACAGAACTGTGTCCTCAAGTTCATCCCAAGCTCATTATACCATCGTTATAATAAAATTTACATGTGGCTTTACCAACCCCCCCACCCTCCAACTTGGCTTTTCTTAACAAATTATGGGTAAAAACATGTACAGTTTAATTTTAGCTATGTATCCGTAAACTGCCAATCAAATGACTTCATCTTGTCACTCACACATAGCCCAAACCTCAACTCCTCCCACAAAACCTCCATGAAAGTCCTCTGAGTTTTGTAAAGAGGGGCTGATTTCACTTCACAGAAATAGGTCTGCTCTCCCTCTGAGAGTATATTACAGTGCTTCAATAAACTCTGCTTTGAACTTGCATTTTGGTGTTAGTTTGCAATTCTTTGTTCACTATCACAAAAACTGAGATTGCTGGTCCAATGCTCCAGTTCTGTGGATGTCCTCAGTTAAATAATACATCTCAACCCAGAATTCCTGGTAACATCAGTATTCTAACTGAAGAGAACTAAGAATTAATAGCACAAAAAAATAGCCAACATCATAAACATCTCAACCCAATTCTGACTGAAAAAGTTGAACTAACTTTCCACTGAATGGGTGCCAGAACCATTGTGCCCAGGCAAGCCACAGGCAACAGTAGAGCTTTTAATGGAAATTTTAAACAAGTGGGATCAAGATCCTGAAAATTTACTCCAAGAATTATAATAGGAGATGAAACATAGCTTTACTGGTACAATCCTGAAGACAAAGCACAATCAAAGCAATGGATACCAAGAGGAGGAAGTCACTTGAAGCAAAACCACATCTGCCAAGAGCAAAGGTCATGGCAATGGTATTTGGAATGTTCAAGGCATTTTGTTTGTTGACTTTCTGGATGGTCAAAGAACAATAATATGTTCTTATTGTAAGAGTGCTTTGAGAAATTTAGCCAAATCTTTAGCAAAAACAAACAACAACAACAACAACAAAAGAAAAATAAAACAAAAAACAACAAAAAACAAACAAACAAAAAAGAAACCCTGAAGAAACCTTCACCAGAGAATCCTTCTTTTTTTTTAGGACAATGCTCCGTCTCAGTCCTATCATCCAATAAAGGCAATTTTGCAAGAGTTTTGATGGGAAATCATTAGGCATACACTTTACAGTCCTGATTTGGCTCCTCTGGCTACTGCTTTGTTTCTTAATCTTAAAAAAATCTTTAAAGGCACTTGTTTTTCTTCCATTAATAATGTAAAAAAGATAGCATTGACATGGTTACATTCTCAGGACCCTCAATTCTTTAGGGATGGAATAAATGTCTGGTATCATTGTTTACAAAACTATCTTGAACTTGATGAAGTTTATGTTGAGAAATACAGTTATTATTATTATTATTATTATATATTTTTTCTTTTTTTATCTTTCAATTCTATTATTTCAGGAGCTTTTGGAAGTCCCCTCCTAGATATTGCTGTGGTCAAAATTCCTAGAAAAAAAATATACTTACAAATCTCCCATATATTGTTTTTGGCACTTAAAATTCTTTACTTAAAAAGAGAAAAACAGAAGATGAGTGTTGGCAAGATGTGGAAAAATTGGAACTCTTGGACATTGCTGGTAGGAATATAAAGTGGTAAAGCTATTGCAAAAGACAATATGGTGATTCCTCAAAAAAGTTAAACATAGAATTACCATGTAATCCAGCAATACCATGTCTAGGCATATTCCCAAAAGAATTGAAAGTAAGGACTTGAACAGATGCTTGAGCACTAATGTTCATAACAGCATTATATACAATAACCAAAAGGTGAGCATTACCCAAATGTCCATTGATGAATATATCAATAAAAAATGGAATACACACACATATATGAACAAGATACCACACTTTATTGTGCTTCACTTTATTATACTTCACAGAAGGTGTCTTTTTTAACAAATGGAATATCTGTGGCAATCCTGTGTTGACCAAGGGTATTAGCCCAATTACTCCAAAAGCATGCGCTCACTTCTCTCTCTGTCACATTTTGGTAACTCTTGCAATATTTAAATGTTTTAATTATTATTATATTTGTTATGGTGATCTTTAATCAGTGATCTTTGATGTTACTATTGTAATTGTTTTGGGATGACATGAACTGTACTCATCTAAGATGGCCAACTTAATCCATAAGTGCTGTGTGTTCTCTCTGCTCCACTGACAGGCTGTTCCCCATCTCCCCTCCTCTCCTTTGGCCCTCCTATTCCTGGGGATATAACAATATTGAAATTAGGCCAATTAATAATCCTACAATGTCCTCTAAGGGTTCAAATGAAAAGAAGAGTTGCATTTCTCTCATTTTTAATCAAAAGCTAGAAATGATTAAGCTCATTGAAGAAGGCATATTGAAAGCTGACATAGATTGAATGCCAGGTCTCTTTATCAAACACTTAGCCAAGCTGTTAGTGTAAAAAAAAATTATTGAAGAAAATTAAAAGTTCTCCTACAATGAACACATGAATGACAAAAAAGCAAAAAAGCCTATTGCTGATAACAAGAAAGTTTTACATTGAAGATCAACCAGCCACAACATTCCCTTAAACAAAAGCCCAATCTAGAGCAAGGCCATAACTCACTTCAATTCTATGAAGGCTGAGGGAGGTAAGGAATCTGCAGAAGAAAAGTCAGCAGCTAGCAGAGGTTGGTTCATTAGGAGCCATCTACATAACATAAAATTGCAAGGTGAAGCAGCAAGTGATAATGTAGAAGCACAGCAAGTAATCCAGGAGATCTAGTTAAGATCATTGATAGACTACATTAAACAACACATTTTCAATGTAGCATAAGGAACCTTCTATTGCCTTTTATTGGATAAAGATAAGAAATACTAGGACTTTCATAGTTAGAGAGTAAAAGTCAAAATCTGGCTCTAAAGCTTTCAATGACAGGCCGCCTCTCTTGTTATAGGCTAAAGCACCTATAAGTTGAAGCCAATGCACCTTTACCATTCCGAAAATGCTAGAGCCACTAAGAATTATGGTAAATCTGCTTTGCTTGTGCTCTATATGTGGAAGAACAAATCCTGGAATGCAACACAACTTTTTACAGCATGGTTTTATATATTTTAAGTCCAGGATTTTTTTTCTACTCAGAAAAAAGATTTATTTCATAATATTTCTGCTCATTGACAGCATATTTGGTCATCCTGTTTCTCTGGTGGATCTCTACAAGATTAATGCCATTTGATGCCCACTAACACAAACATTCATTCTGCAGCTCATGGATCAAAAAGTAATTTGCACTTTCAAGTCTTATTATTGAAGTAAGACATTTTGTAAGGCTATAGTTGCTACAGATAGTCATTCCTCTGATGGATGTGAGCAAGGTAAATTGAATACCTTCCAGAAAAGATTCACCATTCTAGATGCTATCAAGAACGTGTGTGATTCATAAGAGAAGATCAAAATATCTACATTAATAGGAGTTTAGAATAAGTTGATTCTAACCATCATGGATGACTTTGAGCAGTTCAAGATTTCAGTAGAGGAAGTAACTGCAGATGTGGTGGACACAGCAAGAGAATTAGAACTACAAGCGGAGCCTGAAGAGATGACTGAATTGCTGCAATCACATGACAAAACTTGAATGGATGAGGAGTGTTTTTTTATGGATGAGCAAAGAAAGTGTTTTTTTTCTTTTTTTTGAGATGTAATCTATTCCTGGTGAAGATGCTGTGAACATTGATGAAATGACAGCAGAGGATTTGGAATATTACCTCAATTTAGTTAATAAGGCGGTGGCAGGTTTTGAAAGGGTTGATTCCATTTTTAAAGGTGTTCTGCTGTGGATGAAATGCTATCAAACAGCATTGCAGGTTACAGAGAAATCTTTTGTGAAAGGAGGAGTCAGCTGATGTGACAAAGATCATCATTGTTTTATTTTAAGAAATTTACACAGCCACCACAACCTTTAACACCCACCACCCTGATGAATGAGCAGCTATCAATATCAAGGCAAGAGCCGCAACCAGCAAAAAGATTATGACTTACTGAATGCTGATATAATTATTAGCAATTTTAAGCAATAAAGTATTCAAAAGATATTTACATTGTTTTCAGATATGATGCTATTGCACATTGAATAGACTACAGCATAGTGTAAACATAACTTTTATATGCATGAGAGAACAAAAAAAAATTCCTTGACTCACTGTATTGCAAAATTTGCTTTATTGTAGTGGTCTGGAGCAAAACCTGCAATATCTCTGAGGTATGCCTGTATACACACACATGCGTGCACGTGCACACATATAGACACACACACACACAGTATTAGTCCACTTTCACGCTGCTAATAAAGACATACCAGAGACTGGGCAATTTACAAGAGAAAGACATTTAATTAAACTTATAGTTCCATGTGGCTGGGGAAGCCTCACAATCATGGTGGAAGATAAAGAAGAGTAAGTCATGTCTCACATGAATGGCAGCAGGCAAAAAAAGAGAGCTTGTGCAGAGAAACTCTGCCTTATAAAGCCATCAGATCTCATGAGACTTATTCACTATCACAAGAACAGCACGGGAAAGACCTCCCCCTATGATTCAATTACCTCCCATCAGTACCTCCCACAACATGTGGGAACTGGAGATGAGATTTGGGTGGGGGCACAGCCAAACCATATTATTTCATCTCTAGCCCCTCCCAAATCTCATGTCCTCACATTTTAAAACCAATCATGCCTTCCCAACAGTCCCCCAAAGTCTTAACTCATTTCACCATTAACTCCAAAGTCCCCCGAAGTCTTAACTCATTTCAGCATTAACTCAAAAGTCTACAGTACAAAGTCTCATCTGAGACATGGCAAGTCCCTTCTGCTTATGAGCCTGTAAATAAAAAGCAAGTAAGTTACTTCCTAGATACAACGGTCACATCGTAAAGCTGCAAAATGATCTCCTTTGACTCCGTATCTCACATCCAGGTCACGCTGAAGCAAGAGGTCACACGGTGCAAGCTGTTGGTGAATCTACCATTCTGAGGTCTGGAGGACAATGGCCCTCTTCTCACAGCTCCACTAGGCAGTGCCCCAGTAAAGACTCTGTGTGCGGGGGCTCTGATCCCACATTTCCCTTCTGCACTGCCCTAGCAGAGATTCTCCATGAAAGCCCTGCCCCTACAGCAAACTTCTGCCTGGATGTCCAGGTGTTTCCATACATCCTCTGAAATCTAAGCAGAGGTTCCCAAACCTCAATTTTTTACTTCTGTGCACCTGAAGGCTCAACACCACATAGAAGCTGCCAAGGCTCGGGCTTGCACCCTCTGAAGCCATGGCCTGAGCTGTACCTTGGCCCTTTTAGTCATGGCTAGAGTAGCCTGGACACAGGGCACCAAGTCCCTAGAATGCATACAGCTTGGGGACTCATGGTCTGACCCATAAAACCATGCTTTTCTACTAGGCCTCTCGGTGTGTGATGAGGGGTGCTGCCTTGTCTGAAGACCTCTGACATGCCCTGGAGGCATTTTCCCCATTGCCTTGGTGATTAACATTAGGCTTCTCATTATTTATGCTCATTTCTGCAGCCAGCTTAAATTTCTCACCAGAAAATGGGATTTTCTTTTCTATCACATTGTCAGGCTGCAAATTTTCCAAACTTTTATGCTCTGTTACCCTTTTAAAACTTTTAAAACTGAATGCCTTTAACAGCACCCAAGTCACCTCTTAAATGCTTTGCTGCTTAAAAATTTCTTCCACCAGATACCCTAAATCATCTCTCCAAATTTCAAAGTTCCACAGATCTCTAGGGCAGGGACAAAATGCTGCCAGTCTCTTTGCTAAAACATAACAAGAGTCACCTTTAACTCCAGTTCTCAACAAATTCCTCATCTCCATCTGAGACCACCTCAGCCTGGACCTTATTGTTCATATAACTATTAGAATTTTCGCCAAAGCCATTCCACAAGTCTCTAGGAAGTTCCAAATTTCAGAGATATGTAATACTTTTTTATAACAAAAATATATTGAAAATCAAGTCTGACTGTGAAAGTAAAATGAAAATTACATAATAAAAAGCTTTCACCTTAACATCATCTGAGCACTCCAAACCGTTCCAGCCCCTGCATGTTACCCAGTTCCATAATATCTTCCATATTTTTGTGTATCTTTTCAACAACACCCCACTCTACTGGTACCAATTTATTGTATTAGTCTGTTTTCATGCTGCTGATAAAGACATACCTGAGAAAGAAAGAGGTTTAATTGGACTTATAGTTCCATGTGCCTGGGAAAGCCTCACAATCATGGTAGAAGGCAAGGAAGGGCAAGTCATTTCTTACGTGGTTGTTACCAGGCAAAAAAAAAGAGAGCTTTTGCAGGGAAGCTCTGCCTCACAAAGCCATCATGTCTCATGAGACTTACTCACTATCATGAGAACAGCACAGGAAAGACCTCCCCCAATTATTCAATTACCTCCCACCCAGTGCCTCCTACAACTTGTGGGAATTCAAGATGAGATATCGGTGGGGACATAGCCAAATCATCACACACGTGCGCGCACACACACACACACACACACACACACACTCACACACACACAAATATAATTCAGCCTTAAAAAGAAAAAATTCTGATACATCCTACAACAAAAATGACCCTTGAAAACATTATGCTAAGTGAAATAAGCCAGATACAAAATGATTGTATGATTTGTAGAATTCCACTGATGTGAAGCACCTAGAATCATCAAGTTATACAGATAAAGTAGAATAGTGCTTATTAAAAGCTGGGGGAAAGGTGGCAGGGGAATTATTGTATTATGAATCCAGAGTTTCAGTTTAGAAAGATGAAAAATTTCTTGACATAGAGAGTAGTGATAAATGCACAAAAATGTGAATGAACTTAATGCCATTGAATTGTACATTCAACAATTATTAAAGTAACAAATGTTATATTATTCATATTTTATCACAGTAAAGAAATTGAGACCCCCCCAAAAAAATACACACACAAAGAAATAGCATTCTTACCTGAATACAGTGAATATGGTAAGTATTCTTTTCAATGGAATTAATTAGGCTGCACACAACACAAACAGGCAAGAGATCTTCAACTAAAAGAGATACTCATGCCTGAGCTTGCTTTCTCTTCAATAGGAAGCAAAGAAGAATATTTAAAATATTTGAAGTTATACTAAAAATCTTATAAATTCTAATAATCAACATTATATCTACAGCTATATTGTTAGTTTTCAGGACATGATGTTAGCAAGCTACAAATAAATTCAAAGTTTATAAATTTTGAAATATTTTTGAAGGTTAAGAAATTCAAAAACATAAATTTTTGCTATTTCTCAGTTTTCTACTTTATCTGATCTATCAATAAAGAATATTAAGCCAAAAGATAGCTTTATATTCTTTTAACCAGTCTCAAATGTGTTTAGAAATATAAAAATAACTGATCTTGTCTTCTCTCTTATAGAACATCATCTAAGCTAGTGAGAGGCCTATTCGCATTTCCTGTTATACAGGAATAGGTGGAATGATGCCTAAAGTAGACAAGAGATATGTAATAGTTTTTTATAACAAAAATATATTGAAAATCCAGTCTGACTGTGAAAGTAAAATGAAAATTAGATGATAAAAAGCTTTCACCTTAATATCATCCTTGTGCATCAGATAGGACACGTTTTATGGAAAGAACAAGAAAGATGTAAGAGTATGTACACATCTAATGGCTTGTGTAGTTAAAAAAATTTACAACCTAACAAAGACCTTTGTAAAGTGATAGGAAATAGCTACATAAGCTAAAACAAATATTACTCAATTATAATGTTTTAAAGTAAAAAAATGTGATAAATCACATGAAATCTTGATACAAACAGAAGAAAATCTGACTATCAGTAGATGTGAAGGAGGAGTCATGGAGCAGACTTAGTAGGTGATCATGCAGAGAAGACAATTGCATAGACATTTCAAGCAACATTTGGGCTGTATTCAAGATCAGCAAATAATTAAGCAATTTCTTGGCTTCTGTTAGGCTTTACACTATATGGAAATATGCAAATTAAAGCAGCCATAAGAGAATGCCCAACTTTCTCAGGTTTTACAAATCAGGAAAAGTATCTTGGTGATTAACATCTGTAGATTTCTATTGTAAGTCAGTCATGGAAAAGAAATGGTGATGGATGCTTGAGCTTGGTCTTGATTCGCTTTGAAACAGTTCATTAATGACCAAATACAACGAATATTTTCTAATCACTTTGTAGCTGAAAACTAGTGCCTATGTAGAACGATTTAACAAAACACTAATGTAGAATTTACGGTTCAAATATCTCTTTTTCCACCACTGAAATATTTATTGAAAGGAGTAAGGTCAATGCAATAAAACTGACCAAAAATAACAGGCACATTACCTTTCCTAATTATTAGCCAGAGATCAGCATTCACAGTACATAGTAGCTCAAAAACATTTTCTCTTTGAAAGACGGTTAAAAAAAAAACAGGATGTTTGGTTATACATAAAATTAAGAGCAATAAAATATGGGTTATTATATCTGGTAATAAAGATGAGTTAAGTTGTTCTACAAAGAATTTACCCAAAAGGATCAACCAAGAAGACAAGCACTAGCATCTTCCAGAACTATGCTGCAACTTAAGTAATTCCTGAATCTATTCAACTGAGTCAAGGCAGGAAATTGGGGAAGCAGGAACGCTGTGGGAAAGGTGGGCAGAGAAGCAGCAACATCAAACCCTCCAGCTATGCATGAAGAGGTAGGTGCTTTAGGGAGTCACATGCCTGAAAGAGTTAGTAGGCTCTGTTACAATTTCCTTAGAAACTCTAAGGAAGTGATCTACCATTCTTCATTCATTGTTTCTGGATGCAGAGATTATGCTCTGTTAGGGATGTTGATATGTCATTGATTAGGGTTGGCCTCACTGAGATAGCAGAAAACAGAAAAAAGCAGCTCCATTCCCACTGTTTTACACATTTATCTGGAAACCTCAAGTCTCCTAATTTTTTTCTTAAAAATTTCATCTTACTTATCAACAACTTTCACCTAACAATGTGGTTGGTTACTTAGCAGATAAAGTCAGAAAAACACATTCTGTTCCTGGCTGTATTTATGACGTTCAAACAAGTCTACAAAATGTTGCCAAAACATGTATTGAAATAGATTAACAGGGTATTTTTTGTTTGCTTATTTGTTTTTGTTGGGGACAGTGTTCTTTTTTTGTTTTTCTTAAATTGGGTGACTAATCTTACCAGACAATCAGCCATTCACTGAAACAATCCTCTCTGTGAAAAGGAGTAATCCACTTTCATCCACTGAAAAGCTGCATAAATTCCGTGACTTAGATCCTTAAACAAAAATTGGAGAAAATGCTTTCTGCATATTTTTCAGAGGTACTCAAAATAGTAATGAGATAGTGTCTTTAGAGCACTTGGAGTTCCCCAAGGAGAGACACAATGAGATACAAAATAAACTGAAATTACCACTCCATTATGATTTATCTTTTCTATATATAAACAGTTTACTGTTAGCAGTATTTTCCTTGTAGAAACCTTTTATATTACCGAAGTGCATTAGCCATGACGTTTATTTCTACTATTTGCTTGTAAAGGGTCTAAGGCTACAAAGCATAGAATTCTCAACTGTATTAGGAGCAATCACTGTCTTCCAGGACAACTTTGTTATTTCTTAAGTGACTTTTGTATGGAACACAGCTCAGAGAACGTGAACATGAGCTCCCATGGGGCAAGTGAAATGCAATACAAGGTAACAGGAAAGCTCATTACCAGTCTCATGAAGGCAATGGTAGATGCACCCAGCCAGCACTGTGAAAAGTATATGGGCTAACACCAGACTCTCTTAACCCTGGCCTTATGTGAAAGGAACCTAGGTCCCTTGTGCAGGCTTTCTCAGTGTTGGCCTTTCAGAAGCAACCATATCCTTAGTCAGGTGGGCTCTACAAACAAGAGTCATACTTAACTGAAGTCTCATCTTCAGGGCCCAGACTAAAATAGTGTAAATTTTATTTGAAAATTAGTGTGAAAAATTTGTGGTGAACCAATCTAGCATCCTGGTTCTGCCTTTGCAGGTCTCAGCACTGCCAATAGACAAGAAGCTCATTTACCTCCCTTCCTAGAGTATTCCAACAGCCTCCAGCTGCCACCTGGCTGGTTTTCCAGAATATGAACTCTTTTCTGCTTCAAACCCATCCAGTAAATTTCGGTCTGAGATACACGCCCCCTGCCTAAATCTCAGAGCCCTCTTAGATTTAGGTTAAGGCATTATAATGCAGCAGATAAAAACACTGGTGCATAGGCCAAAAGATCTGACTGCAAATCTTTGGCTGTATTTTACCAGCAGTGGAATTCTTAAGAAAATTGCTTCTTGAAATCTCAGCCCCTTCCTCTCTAAAGTGAGAGAAATGATGTTTCCCTCTCAGCACTGTGGTTGGGAATAAGGAAGAAAATGTACACGAAGCATTGAGCCTAGGGTCTATTGCTCAGTTAGTCTATAACAAGTGGCATTTGCTATTGTTACATAATTTGGCTTCATTCTAGCCATGACAATTACATCTTCTACCATTGCACAACAATAATAACAATATTGTTGGATGCTTTCTAGGTACTGAGTCCTAGCATAAGTTTATACATATATCAACTCATTAATTCTCAAAACTGCTCACATAAAAAATTGATATGATAGTTTACCTCCATTTTACTGACAATGGAAGTGTGTACAGAATGATGACATAATACCTAAGGTCACAGCAGTAGGTAGTGGAGCTGAGACTCTCAGGTAAATCTGGCTCCTGACTCTGTTTGTAGCCACTGTGCTATGCTGCTTCCCTAGTCCAGTTTCCTTGTCATTTCCTCCATTGGACCTGTGGGATTTTATTTCTCTTTCTTGAAATTTCCTCACTTCCAGTCTGGTTTTCTATAACTTACTCACTTTTCAAGGCACACTTCAAGATAGCGTCTTTGTTTTGTTTTGTTTTGTTTTCAGAAAATTCCTCTGCAGTATTCCAGTTCTCACTGATTTATTTTTTTCTGAACACCTATAGTCTTGTGTTCTATAATGTAGCACTTAATTACTCATTGCATCAAACTGTGTGTGTGTGTGTGTGTGTGTGTGTGTGTGTGTATGTGTGCGTGTGTTCTCATTCCTGTTATTTTCTTTTCCCTACAGGCCTTTCAGCACATTGAAAGCTAGGACTTCCTTATCCTTCCCATGAAGAGAACAGTATTGAGTTTATTTCAATAAACTCTCAGTGAATAAGTGGAGATTGTTATATGCATGTAATAATCATATAGGTAATATCACCTTGCCTTTATGCAGTTTATATATGCTATCTGCATTTGAATTTGCATTTAGTTATTCATGTACAAAATTATCCAATTAGGTTTTAATGGGGTCTTAGCCTAAGATTCGTGTTATCAGGCTTGAATGGGAAACAGGTTGAGTACGTCTCCAGAACCCTCAAACTCAGACAAATCCTAAGTCTTCCTCAGGAGAATGAGGAGTTATGACAGGTAAAAACAAGTTTTCTAATGTCTGACCACAATATAGAATATTCAGTTATGTCTATTTTTATTTAAGACATTTTGAGAACACAATTTCCTAAGGAGACAATTTTCTTAAGAATCACACATAAGTAGTTCATACTATCAAGCAATTTCCTCTGACATTTTCCTTAAAATGTCCCATATTTTCCCCTTCGTCAAATGAGTCTATGTTGCAAATTTGGTGTTGTGCATTTCCTTCACCCATCTTCTATGATTATAGCCTTCAAATGTGGCTAGCCAGTTATGGGGTCTATCTACCTTTCAACCAACATCGGTCCATGTTAGGCATAACTGGGTCTTTTCTTCTTATTTAGTTTTAACAGTGATGATGAGTTGCCTATGAAGGCTGGCAATATTTTATTACTTCTCACTAATATCTGTCTTCTAAAATCAAAATAAGTTAATGTTTATACCACTTTGGCAGACTTTCTGGTTTTCAAATAAATTGTGCTAAATATAAATCCATGTTTACTGGGAGACTTCCCATAGTGTTGAAGATATTTTGATTATCTTTTAAATTAGAACAAAGCAGACTTTGATATTGGGCTTTCAAAAAACATAATTCTCTATAAAAATGCTGCATAAAGTCAATTTGATTTTTATGTTCCCACAAATCAAAGATCTCAGATACATGAACTTCCCTTTATAAGGAGGGCAGACAAGATTCTGAAGAAGGGACAACTTATGAAATGTGCTCCCCTGCTTCTATACAGAAAATAGAAATGAGTGAGTTTAAAAGTAGCTGATGTAACACTTCTTCAAAAGTATAAGCTATATTCCAGTTTTACACAAAACTAATAAAAGAATTTCATAAACTTTGGTCGTTCAGTTCCTAAAATACAGGAAGATTGGGATAAGACTGCTTAGATGATTGTTTCTTTAGTAATAAGACACCCCCTAGACGCTTTGTAGGGATGATCTTCTCTACCTTGGTATAAAAATCACCTCATGTTTCTTAGTTATTCCTGTCATTCTGAAAAAGTAAATAGTCATTTTGTTTTCTAGTTAAAATGAAAAGAAGGAATCAAATTCATTCTTATTAAAAATGTTCAATGTATTCTTTAAAGGCGTCCCCTCTCCTCAGCATGGGCCAGTCCCAGTCTCGTAATGCTGTATTTGGAGATGTGTCTTCTCTCGTATTCATTTCACCCCTTTTATCCTTCATGATGCTATTTCTAACCTTCAGGGGTCAGAACAAGGAGAAATAGAAGATTCACGAAGATGAGCAAAGTTTCATGGAGCTGGAGTGGTTGTCAGTTGCATCATAGGCAGATGTGACAGATGCCCCCTCTCTAGTTCCTTCTTGGGGTTCATCTGGGGTTTCTAAGGAACATTTCCTATAGGTCATCTTCCATATAACTATTCCCTTACTATGGTCAATGTCTCCTTCAGAAAGCTGCTTTCTTCCAAGCTGGCTTCCTACTCCTTTCCTGGGTAACTTCTGTTTCAGCCATTCTCCAGGAGCAAGTCCCTTTTAGGATGGCAAATGGGCCACAGTCAGCTTCCAAACATAACTCTCTCATACAGCCTGCAAGATAAAGGGACCCGCAGCCACCTTTCAATTGGGATGCAGATCCTCCCTCTTCACTCTGTGGCCAGGAAAACCACTCCAGTAGTCTTTTCTGTTTCATTTTCTCTTGGTGAAAATTGACACTAATCTCTGTATAACCCTCCAACAGCTGGGAATATATATTACAGTTTCCAAGAGGTTCACTTTAAACTTCTTCCTTATTTAAGGTGAAGGAGAAGTCTACACACAATTTTACCATGAAAAATTAAAGGGAATATAATTCTTCTCTGAATAATGAATTCCTCATCATTAGCCTTAAGAATCTTCTTACTCACCCAAATATATATTTTTGTCTTCATGGGCTAATGCCACTGGCACTAATTTTATAATCTCCCAGGATATAAAGTATCCAGCATGGATTGGTAGCTAAGAGCACGTGCTCTGGAGCCCAGTGGCCTGTGTTTAAATCCCAGCTTTCCTAGCAGACTGCTTAATAACCATGAGGAAGTTACTGAAACTCTCTATGCCTAACATTCTAATTTGTGAATGGAAATAATAGTAAATAATAGTATTCTACCTCATCAAATCATTTGAGGGGTTAATAAATTTAGAGGTCTTAGCAGAGTGCCTGGCATGTAATGAGCACTGAAAATGTTAGCTATTACTCATCTAAGACTCTGAGAACTACTGTATTGTTCTCAATCTTGGAAGCCTTAGTCCAGCTAGAAAGAGAGGAGCCCATTTTAATATCCTGTTATGTTAGGTTGCTTGGGAAGTGCACATTTATTTTCATTTCTTCCTGGCTTCCCAAATGTTTTGTTGTACTTTGTGGTTTAAAGAAATGTAAATCAATGAGATTTCTTAAACTGAGCATTGATTTTAATTTTGGACTTACTGGAAGCCATACTGACAAGGGAAATATGATGATATATTATTCTCATCTAACAAAACAATAATATCACTTTATTGAATTACTTAAATGTTTTAATGTATTGAATATATAAGGTGGATCTCTTTCCATAATGATCCATTCATGGAGGAGGGGGCACTGAACGTAAAAAATAGTCTTCAAATGATGTCCTGAATTTATCTAGGGATTAATACCCAAGAATTATTCAACTTACAGGTTATCAAACTTTAGCAGGTATAAGAAATACCTAATTATTAAATGCAGGTTCTAGGCCTGTCCCTGGAAATAACAAGGATACAGAGGGAACAGGAATCTATTGTGGAGCAGTCAGCACAATGAATTCTGCTGCAAGGAGGGCTAAGACCACACTCTCAGAAACACTCAACCAAACATGAACGTGAATGCTTTCACCTTGGCATGAGGCACTTAGCCACAGACATGATACAACTAGGGTCTCATTTTACGTGTATCAGGGTCTCTTTTACAGAGCTGGTTCTCACTCCCTTAGGGATTCCTGTCATTTACAGAATAAAAAGAGTATTTGATTTTTAATGAAATGCAAAGATAGTGATTTAGTTACACAGAGAAGTAGAAAAAACAGAGAGATGAGAAAATATGTTAAACTAGTTATGTGTTAATATCCATTAGAAAAATATGAGCAAATTAACATGAAAAAGAGAAAAAATAGAAATTAACATATTTCACACACAGCAAAAGAATGGCTGATAAACATAAAAAGATGTTCAACCTCATTATTAATAAAATAAATGCAGACTGAGCTAATGAGATTTCACATTTTCTGCATCTGACTGGGAAAGAAAAAAACATTCTTGTTAACACTTTCATAATGATAAAAGGATGGGCTAAAGGCCATTCTCACATACTTTTCAAATTAATGTATTTATTTTAAATTGGCACATAAAATTCTATATAACTAATTGTGTACAATACTATGTTTTAAAGTATATATACATTGTGAAATGGTTAAATCTAGCTTTCATTGGGGAGAAATTGCTACAATTTATTAATGAAGATCCAGCAATAAGTATACAATTTTATATGTGTTCAATTTTAATATTGCTTAACAACTACATGTCTAGGACTTTAACCCAAATAAATAATTGTCTAAAGTACAAAGATGTTAGTTTAACAATGTTCACCAATTAGATTTTATACTAAAAAAAATCAAAACATTCAAACGCCCAAAAGGAATTTATTAAAAATTACACTATTAATTACAATAGAATTGGATATACATACTAAATACTATGCTGCATAATTATGATGTTCACAAAAATACCTACAAAAGTACTTCAGTGCCAAACAAGTTATAAAAGATTATGCACAGTATTATTTCATTTTTCTAAAGTAAAACTGATCAAAAATGGTAGAAAAAAATCCTGAAGTTTTTATATGAAAATAATAATTATACATACTTACAGATACAAATGGATTTTAAATAATCTTTTACCTTTTTTATTGTCTGAATTTATCATCAGAAAGTATTAGGTTGGTGCAAAAGTAATTGCTGTTTTGCCATTACTTAATGGCAAACCTAATACCGTCATGTTTATTTTGAAAAATATTAAATATATTAATTATATTTAAGACAGATTTATATGTGAATTGTGTGAACCTCAAAATATTTTATTCAGTAACATGACACTATGGCTTCCTATGGGACTAAAAAGAACTATATGTTATCTGCGCTTACATTTTTCTTTTCTTAACTACTTCCTTAGAGATCCAGCTGTGGTAGAAACATCTAGGATTTTATATAAAAATCAAAATTGAGTGCAAAGACATACTCTGACCTGTACTTTTAAAAGTACTATATAACTTTCTCAAGAAGAAAACATTCTGATCATTGAGGCACTTTCAGTATATTTTCTTTACTGCTTCAGAGATTTTTCACTTAAGATAACTCTGCCTTGGACAACACAATAACGTTCAAAAAAATACCGTTTTGGGATTTGTGCTCTTCCAATGTTATAAGAAGAAAAATAGTTGAAAAACAGACCAAAAACAAACAAACAAAGATTACTCATCTCAATTCTTTTTGTATTCATAGATTCTTAAAGAGCTGATTTCTGAATTTTTAGAAATATCTTGAACATCAATATCGATATTTATTTTTCTCCTCTAGTGTTTTCCTAAAATGAATTATGTTTTAAAGGAAACATATTCTTTGACACAATCTCTATTTGAGCCAGAGGATGTTTGTCTTTGGCTAACTTATAAGCTGTTCTATTTTCCAGAAATGATCAGGTACAGTTGGGAGTCATGATCATTATCATTATTAAAGTTCTTTGTCTTTGTAGGCTGCTTTGCAATTTACAAAAGATTTTCACACATATTGCATTATTTTCATGTTTGTTTTCTGGCATCCCTGTGAGGTAGGCAGAGCAGGTACCATTTTCCTGTGAGAGATCTGAGTTGCAAAAGTTAAATCTATCTGTGTGAGATCTATTTATCATGTTACCATCTCAGTATACTAATGATGCTTTTATGGCCTACAAATCTTCATGTGGATCACACAGTGTATAATTTAAAGAAGAGAAATAGCTTAGTTTCAGAAAAGGTTGATAAATAAAGAATCTCCGTACTCCGAATCTATAAAAGGATGTGAATTAGTCTTATGTGTTCCAAAAATAAAAGGGCCACCACACACACACACACAAATACCATAATTCAAAAATCTGCAGAAAGCAGAAGAAAAATTTCTAATAATGAGAGGTAAAATTCTGGTACTTCTTTTTCAATAATTAATGATATTCTCTTGATGGACATTCTAAGTTTTTGTCATGAAGAAGTTCCAAAGTATATTATTTGTAAGACAGTAGAGATTATTAATAAAGCAGAGACTCCACAATGTGTGTGGGGATTTCTTTGTGTATTGATTGGAGATTGATTTTAACCCAAAATATTGTTAGCTTCACTTCCCAGTAGTCTCAAGACGGTGTAATTCAGTATTTCTCCCATGGCTGTGGTTTACTCAGCCATCAAGAATTTCCTCCTAAAGAGAGATTTGAGAAATACCTTTATTCCAAAAATATATTGGGAAAACCCAGTATACAGCACTGTTCTCTTTGATATTCATCAAGAAAACTGTCATATTGTACACTAATATGTTAAAAAAGCTGAAATGTCAAGTTACTCAATTCCCTCCAAGAAATTCATTTTCTTAAAAAAAAAATCCATTAACATTTCATGAAACCAGAATACCAATATGTTAGTCAAGTCATTTTTTGCCAGAAACTCAAATCAGTTGAATTGCCATGGACAATCTGAAGATATTGATTTACAATACATCACTGATGCATCTGTAATATATCTGATCATCAGGGGGAACCTTGACACAGGCAGAGTAATGTGCTTGCCATCATAGTGTATCTTCTTGAGTGCCCTACAGTCTTGAGCATGTAGCCGACATGCATTAAAATATATATCTGGCATAAAATGCATTTTATTTTTTCATAAATATTATGTATTATTCATTTTAAATTATTTTAGATTATTGGAGTTTCAACATGGACCTCTAAAATTTGCAGTTAGTTGCAGTCACTTGAACAAAGGAGGCATAGACAGGCTACTGTTGTTAACTCATTCTGTTCTGTACCAAACACGCTAAGATACTGAAGGAAGAAGTAGCACCCATTACATTGGAAATAATAAAAACTTACTTTTTAAGCATTCGAAGAACAATTTACTCAATTTTTAAATTTTATTTGTTAAGCTAAGAAAATTTAAATTAAAACCCACAGCCTGGTTTCTTTCTTTTTTAATGGAATGCTTATGAATGGACAATAGTAATCAATTATGGCTAAGACTGTTAGAATTTTTTTAATGAAAGCAAGAATTGGTAGAAATTGGTTTCTTTGAGATATGAGATTAAGAAAAATAATAAAAATAAGAAGTTTGAAAGTTAGTCCAGGCATAAATTATTTTGATCATTTTACATATATTCACATATACACATAGATATATAATATATATACATTCATATCAATATCTATATCTTCATGATAGAGTATATTCATGAAACCACTTCAGAAAATGGACTGCTTCTGTTCACAATAATTCTACCAATATACCCTTAAGTTTCAAAAATCTTTTTATCTATTCTCCTTGGCGCTACTTACAGCTGTGACAGCCAGCTCATCACCAAAATCAGGCTGCCAGACACCCCCTTAAGCTGAAGAGATTAAGAAAAAAAGCCAAGAAGTTTCCTTGACATCTGTCATATTGACACACCAAAATTAAATACAGCTTGATAAAACTAAAAAAAAAAAAAAACAACAATTGTCTCCAAAGTCCTTTTCTTCAGGAGAGTGACGGTCAATCACATGCTAAACATTGGTATGAGAGCAATAAAAAACATAACGCTATCCAGCCAGTCCTGGCATTTCCTGATAGACAAAAAGAGGATGGACTCTTGAATGAGAACAAGTCTTTCTGACCTGAGACTACTCCCAATATTTTCATCAAGGTCTTTAAAGTTATCAAGAACTGAAAAAAAAAATTCTATTAGTCACCAACAAGATCCTCTACTGCATTTGGCCATAAATAAAACCACAAGTCTCTATTGACCTTTACCTACAACCCTTCAATTCTTTCCACATTTACCTGCAGACAACATTGCAAAAATCATAATCACCTATTTTTGAGACAGGGTGATAGCGCTTCTCTATTTTCTCTTCATCTAAGTTTTGACGAATTACTTCTTCTCACTAAGCCTCAATGTTCTCAGTTATAAATGAAGGGAAACTGATTTCATGGGGTTGTTATGTGGATAAATATTACATACCTGAAGTGCTGAACACATTTACTGGCTTAGAGTAATTAATGTCATTTCAAGTCCACCCCTTGTCCCAGCAGAGCACTAGGAAAACAGCCTTTGTTTCTGCAGTTTTGTATATGCTTTCACTCATGGATCATCAGTATGCTTTTTCCCAAACTTTTCTCCCTTGTATCCCCATCACCATGATTAGCTCTTCTGCGTAGGATAGAGTAAATACAAAGCTAGACTGAGAATTATTGTTTCTTATTTCTGGAGATGCCTGGATGACTGGCTTTGAATCTTTTTCAAGATAAGAATAGTGGGATTTATGATGTGCTGTTTAAAGTCCAGAACTCCCTAGCTAACTGCAGTACAAGTTTGTTTACTGATGCTTTGCACCCAGCATAACCTGTTAGACAGTCCAGCTTGACCAGAAGCCAGAGGGACATGACATATCCTCCTGGTAACTTCTACCTTGAGTTCACTTGGAGCCAAGAGTTATGGCACAATTCAACGTGGTTCCTTCTGGAGGCAAAGTCCATCCATGTGTGACTAAGAACCTGGGAGGAGTTTGCACTTTGTTGTGTTTCAGACTTCCCATGCTTGCCTGTACACTCCTTCTCTTGCCACATCGTATATTTGGGTTAAAATGAAAGTCTTATATAAATATATTCCATGGAGTCTTATAAATCCTTACAAATATTCCAAGTTTCCAGGCTACCTGGATACAATTCCAACTAAACCAATTACTACTTGTATTATCTTTGGCAATTTACTCATCCTCTCTGTCTCAGTTTCCTCACCTATAAAAGGGTAATAACATTAATACTTATATGCTGTTAAGTAAATTATATAGTAAAATATATGAGAAGCATTTAGTGCTGGAAAATTAGGAGAACTAAATGAACATTAACTATCATTATCATCATAATTATTTTAAATATTTGTGTCTTGTTCCTAACAAATAAATTTACCTCTTAAGGGCAGGTGAAATGTCTTAGTCATCTTGCTATCCTCAGTTTCTAGCACAATGCTTAGCATAAAGCAAACCCTTCATTATACTTCTTACATTAAATGAATAGAGCCATGGACAATTTCAAGGTATCGATTTACAGTGTATCACTGATGCATCTGTAATACATCTGATCATTGGAGGAGGTGCATCTTCACAAATGCAGAGTAATTTGCTTGCCATCATAGTATATCATCTTGAGGACTCCATAGTCTTGAGGATAGCAGACATGCATGGTCTTTATTTTAATTGCTTGTCTTCTTGCCCCCTACTTGAGTTCACAACTAGGTTATTCAAAATAATATCAAAATTCCCTCCCTTCTTCCCTTCCTTCTACAAATATTTGCTTAGTGATCTCTACATTAAAAAAAAAAAAAAGCTGAACTTGGTCCTGGGGCTCAGAATTACTTACATATTCTAGGAGTTTACATTGTCCTGCCCATAAGAGACAAACAAATCCACCTTTCAAGTATACCGTGACAAGTTTTATAGACACCACGGGATCATGGTGTCAGGGCTCAGTCCATAGGGTTCGGTCAGGGATGAGTTCTTGTAGAGATTGGGATGGCAATAGCCAGGACAGATTAGGCGGAAGGCAGATTATAATGAAACTAGGAATGACTGGGAGGCAAACAGAATCATAAAATTCAATTTCAGAAAAGTAGGATATGAAAATGGTTCAAAGTTGACTAGACAGAGAAAATAAACCAAGGCACAATAATGTAAATTTGTATGAAGGTAAGACACAGCTTGCTTCGATTCATGGTGAATTGACAGTAAAGAGAGAAAAGATGGAGAATGATTGATGGGGTGTGTCCTCTGAGGAAGTAGAACAACTTGGCATCAAAACCACACCAATAATACTCTGCATAAGGTCTGATTAAGTGGCAAGGCACCAGTTGTCTACAAGAATGTGAAAGCCATAGAAGCATTAATGGGTCACTGGAGCAACAGCAACCGCAGGACAAGGTGGTGGGAATGGATGGCCCCCATTGAAAGGAATAAGGGTTGCACTGCCTGTAGACAAATGTTATGTAATAATAATACCTACTAAAAGTCAGTTTGATTTTTCATCTTCTCCCACTGGTAATTCTAAACAACGTTAGTAATAAAGTATTTCTAATCAAGAAAATCTTTGGACGATATAAATTCTAAATCAATGCAGCCCAACCAACTTTCTGCAGTAATGGAAATGTTCTGTATCTATGAGGTCATATACAGTAGTTACTAGCCACATGAGCTATGTAGCATGTGAAACATGGCTAATGTGACTGAAGAATTGAAATTTTATTTTCTTTAAGTAAGTTTTAATATTCTTGAGTTTCTTTAAATATTGACAAATTTAAGTTTAGTATAAGTAGCTACATGTGGCCAATGGCTGTCATATCAGACAGGACAGTTCTAAAAAACTGCTGTGGTTACTATTGTATTTTAACTATATAAATAAGTAGTTTAATATATATATTACTTTACACATAATTTAACATATAGCATAATTAATATATACATATACTTATATACATATATAGGCACATAAATTTTAAATTAGCACATTTTTACTAATCTTCTAATAAACACTGTATAGTACATGGAAGTTAATTCAAATAACTATTGCCTACACAGCTGATATCCAACACTCACAGACCCAGCTACACAAAAATTGTCTTTAGGGTAAGTTCATAATATTTTGTCCCGATTTTTTCTGTGCATTTTGTGCCTCTGTGGTACCACCTGGTTCTGCATTTAAATGATAAATTAGAAATAAACACTAATAACACAATTACCAAAATAAAGGAAGGGCTTGATTTACTTTAATTCTATACCTCTGGGTAAATCTTTAGATTCTTTATTAATTAAAAGTATAGAAATTTGCAGAAGCTAAAACAAGAAACAGAAATGTCAATATTTTAATCCATTACTATGATAACTAATACTTAGTTTAGTCCAATACATTAATGTAATTTAAAAGTATTAACATGTTACTTTCTTTTTCATACTATATCATTTATTGTAGGTATTTTTCTGGCAGATTATACATAAAAGTTCAATAATTTTTTAACTGTTTGTATTATTTTTATGGCCATTATTATCATTTATTTTATTCCATGGCTATTAATGAAAATAATTTTGTATTATAGAGAAAAATGTTAAAAATGAGCTGTCAAATATGCTAGGTATTTCACCATACTAGAGACATCTTAACAACTCACATACAGTCTTTATAGAATATATTTATTCCCAGGTAAAATTGTAGGAAATACATTAGTCTTATATATAGTTCCAACCCAATAGAAAGTCAAAGAGGATTTCATGACTCCTAAACAAATAAGCAAATAGTTGATCTAGCCAGACAGCAATGAGCTCTCTACCAATGTGTCATAAAGCCTTGAGGAGCAAAAAGCCTGCTGGTGTGGGGTGTGACACAGGTGGGGAATCACCTGGTCTACCTCTCAGGCAGTTCGTTAACCTCTCTGGATTTCGTTTATCATCCTTACAAAATGGAAATAAGGAGCACATTTTATGATGACTAAGTCGTTTAATATATGCAAAATGTCTTGGACAGTAGGTGTCACAGAAATAGTGGCTATATTTTTGTTGGATAAAGCAATGTAGCTTCTCAAGTATCTGTCTCAGCATGTTGGTCATTAACATATTTGAACGTCTACCTCTATTGAAAAGCCCACTTTTACATAATAATCATTACTGCTACTATTATTTTCTTTTGCAAACTATTTGAAGTGTAATTAAAAAGTAGTATCTTCTGCCACACAAACAAAATGGAAATTAAAAACAATAAAACTAAAAACCAATTCATTGGACATAAGGTGCTGACGACTAAAAGTAGATTTTTGGATTTTTAATTTTTTTTTTTTTTTTTGAGGCGGAGTCTCGCTCTGTCGCCCAGGCTGGAGTGCAGTGGCGCGATCTCCACTCACTGCAAGCTCCGCCTCCCGGGTTCACGCCATTCTCCTGCCTCAGCCTCCTGAGGAGCTGGGACTACAGGCACCCACCACCACGCCCGGCTAATTTTTTTGTATTTTTAGTAGAGACGGGGTTTCACCATGTTAGCCAGGATGGTCTCGATGTCCTGACCTCGTGATCTGCCCGCCTCGGCCTCTCAGAGTGTTGGGATTACACGCGTGAGCCACCGCACCCGGCCAGATTTTTAATTTTTTAGAAATCTTTGGTAAGTGTGTTTTCTGCTTTGTTTTGTTTTGGTTTGGTTTGGTTTTCTTTCTTTGTTTTTTAGATGGAGTTCTTGCTCGGTTGCCCAGGCTGGAGTGCAGTGGTGCGATCTCCGCTCACTGCAACCTCTGCCTCCTAGGTTCAAGCAAGCAATTCTCCTGCCTCGGCCTACCAAGTAGCTGGGATTACAGGTAAGTGTGTAGACTTCAGTTTTAAGTCTTCATTTTTAAATGGATAGATAAAGGTGATAAAGGTGCCCCTGACAGTATCATTTTATGATGGCTG
Organism: Homo sapiens; assembly: GCF_000001405.40. NCBI lineage: Eukaryota > Metazoa > Chordata > Mammalia > Primates > Hominidae > Homo > Homo sapiens. The sequence goes on along the minus strand of NC_000007.14, from coordinate 89,120,064 downwards.
ATTTTCTGTTTGTGAGATCTCTTCTGTGCTTCTTCTGTGAAGAGCATTAGCTGAATTTTTCTAGTAACTCTATGTCTGCTCCATTAAAAAAAAAAATATTTAGATAAAAAAAGGTGCTACACAAGTCAAAGGAACTCAACCCACTTGGGAATAAACCTTGCTATCCATATGAGCATGTTAGATAAACAAACAAACAATATAGAAACTCATTTAAAACACGTATTTTTTTAATTATGTATTTTTAATTGATTTTTATGTCTTAGTAACTTTCCATGCCAGGATTATCAAACAAGGCTAGTTGGTTCTACCTGAGTTATTAGCTTGCTTGATTTAAGTAACTGGGCACAGCCAGGTGCTATGTTTTATGTTCCTCATTCTAATTTTGAATTCTCTTCACTTGAATTCCCTAGACCAGACACATGCTTTTGACTTATAAAAGGAAACAGTAAATTTAGTACAGAAAAGACATACAAAAGCATATCAGACTCAGAGGCAAGAGTCCTTGGGTGAATAATTTTATAATTATTGATTTATTTTGACTATGAGGAAGAACGGAGAAAAGCAAAGCAAATTAATATTTCAATATCTCATACTTCATAGGGTTATTTTTTGCTGGAAAGGTAGTTTAGTGAAGAAAGTCTCCCTGAACTTTCTAAACTGGCCAAATAGAGATAAGAGGGAATAACATTTTTATCTTGAAGGTGATGATACTTCCTTTCCCTTGGCTTCAAATTTTAATTTAATTTTTAAAAAATACTGATGGCTGTAACTGACCTTTTGAAATGTTCTGTTGTAATTTTTCTGTCATAGAGCCTAAGCCATCAATAATTTTTAATGTCCCTTGATAAGCCTGACATGCAGCAAGGGCAGAAAACCACCATTAATGATACTAAAGATGACAGTGGCCATTTGAGGTCAGGTAGGTCAAGGGGCTAGCCCAGTGCTTAAAACATAATAAGCACTCAAAATGTTATACCCTTACTCTTTCATTAAACTCAGTCTAATGATGATGAATTAACTGATACAATTGGCTTATAAGATCAAAAAAGTATATATGATGAAAAAAATCTGACTTTGACCTAGAGGTGACTGGAAATGCACAATAGAATTCGCCACAGTTGAACTTTCTTTAATGTCAGATTTGTCATCATCATCACCATCATCATCGCCATTATCACTGACCTCATCTTATCTCTGTAGTCCTCTTTCAGAGGGAAACTCTACAGTAATGAATGGAGAATGTTGGTCAGAAGACTGAAAGGACAAATTTTGCAGTTCTTAATGAGAACTCGAAGTTTTAATACTTTCCCACAAAAAATTTTTAACCTTGCTCACATTTCAGATAACAATTGAAATAATTAAAAAGTAACAAATAGCTTGTTAGTGTGCTTTGGAATGGAATTTTCAAGGTAAGGTCAAAGGAACTTAATTTAATAACATTAAAAGTATGAGAGCCGGGGGCACTTCTTATTACGGCCATTTTTTTTTCTTGTGAAAAACTCATTATACCACATTGCAAAACTCAGAACAGAACATTTTGTTTTTATTTAATCTACACTGGGCACTGTTTTACTGTCTGTTGAATGACATTTTCCCTGTCATTTCTAAAAGAAGATGGATTTTGAAAGAGGTGTTGGTATTCAAAATTTAATTTCTTATGTGTAAATAAAGTTAAAGTGCCTAGAAACTATGGAGATTATCTCACTAATTGATAAAGTGGCTATATTACTTAAGATAGTGCTGCATGGAGACAGAAAAGACATAGGCAGACCTGGTTACCTAATTCCGACTTAGTACTCCAAGGAGGCGATATTTAACTACTCTGAGACTTAGTTATTTTAACTTTAAAATGGGAATATGAATAATTATGTCGTAAAACAATTGTAAGATTATGAGTTTAGCATAAGTTGGTATTCAAAAAGTTTGATCTTCAAAAAAAGTCAGTTAGTTTTCAGGATGTGAAAGAAGGTTCATCCAGTTTCTTTCTGGTCTAAGATTAGCTGTTCCTTGATTGTGCTTTGCTGCTCTCAAATGTAGAAACCTTCTTACAGATACAAAATAATTCATGCTTTTGTATGTCAAGCCTACAGGACTTTCAAAAGTCTGCTAACAAATGATACATTTTCCATCATTTTTTAACAGTAGTTGAAAAAAAGACTAAGTATTCACGATCAATCTTAACAAAATGTTACCAAACTCAAAATGTAAAAACTTTTCTGGAATAGTTTTAAAGTTTCAAAGTGTGGTTTTACATTTATATGCCAGCTATGAAATAAAGCAACATGATTACAAGCCTTCAAAACTTATTTTTCAATAGTTACATATGTAATGAGTATGATAATTTGAATAAAAAATTTTCTCACTGCCAAAAATAGCACAAGTATAATATAATTACAATTTAGTCAATATAGCATCAACATTATGGCTAAAAAGGCATCACAATTTAAACCGTTTGAGATTTCTCCCCATTGAGCAAATTACTTGAACTCATCCAACTGGGTATCATACTGAGTAATGGCTGCTTTTTGATTAGTGATTGGATATAGTCTTTCAAAAGTACAACCAGAGAGTTAATCAATTATGGTAAGTAAGCATAGCAACACAGAATGCAGGTTTTTATAAGAATAATAGAAACTTAGAAGGAAAATTTTCTTATTGGTTAATACTGAATTTGGAAGAGACATATGAGAATTATATTGGCTTAACTTAACCCAGTTGCTACTATAGTTTTCTGTATACATGATGCATGGTACCTATATTAGATTCCTATGACTGCTGTAACAGATTACCAAAACTTGGTGGCTTAAAACAACAAAAATTTATTCTGTCATATTTCTGGAGGCCAGAAGTCTAAAACAGTATCACTTGGCCAAAATTGACTTATCAAAGGGACCACACTCCTTTTAGAAGCTCTAGTGGAGAATGTGTCCTTTGCCTCTTCCAGCTTGTAATGGCTACTAGAATTCTTTGGTTTATCATCTGGCACATCATCCAATTTTCAAGGTTCGTATCTTCAAACCTCTCTCAGTTCTATTTTCTCCTGTTGCCTTCTCTGTGTGGTCAAAGCTGCCTCTTCCGCCCTCTTATAAATATACATGTGATTGCATTTAAGGCCACTCAGATAATCAGGATAACATCTCAGTCTCAAAATTCTTAATCATATCTGCAATATATTTGCCACATAAAGTAATATTTACATGTTCTGGACAATAGGCTTTATATCTCTGGTGCCATTATTCAACTTACTATATAGCACTCTAGTGGAATCTAGGTAATTTAAAATTCGTGTAAAAAATATCTCTCAATAATTATGCCGAAATGTAGTTGCTAGAGGAAGGACAGATAAGGAAATACGCTGGTAAATAAATTAGAAGTAAAGACTATGGGTATATATCACTAATCTTTATGAAAATGGAGTCTCTACACTACAAACCAGACTATTTGTTGAGAAAGGCTTTATAATTTTATAACTAAAGCTTAATATTTGAACCTTTAAAATGGATTTTAGGTCCAATTGATTTATTATATTTCAAAGCTATGCAAGAAATAGTTGTAGGTTAGTTACTTTCTCACAGGGTTCATGAAGACTCAAAACACGCTGTCTGAGGTTCTAAGGGACAAATATAGAAATGGAGACCCACTCTTTCAAAGTCTTTTTATTTGGAGCAGGAAATGCAGAATACTATTATAATTGAACAACCTTGTATTTTCTAAGTTTTTAAGGAGTAATATGTGTTTTAATAGCCATACCTGTCTTAAATCATAAACATTTTGAACCATAGACATCACAAATACCTTATTCAAGAATCACGGTCTTTACTTTCTGTTTCAATTAAAAAAACAAAAACCGTGGCTTGGCACGGTGGCTCATGCCTGTAATCCCAGGACTCTGGGAGGCCTAGGTGGGTGGATCGCCTGAATCCAGGAGTTCAAGACCAGCTTGGGGAACATGGCGAAACACTGTTTTTACTAAAAATACAAAAAAAAAAAATAATAACTGGGCATGGTGGCATGTGCCTGTAGTCCCAGCTACTCAGGAGGCTGAGGTGGGAGAATCATCTGAGCCCGGGAGGTCGAAGCTGCAGTAAGCCAAGATCACGCCACTGCTCCAGTCTGGGCAACTGGAGTGAGACTCTTGTCAAAAAAAAGAAAAAAAAAAACAAAAAAACCTGTTGACCTTTAAATACGTGATTAATTAATGCTCAGTAATAATGTTGACTTGACTTTAAAGAGGCAAAATCTTGATTCTCCCTTCAGAAATTGAATATGTTTGCAATAGGCTAAAAACTACAAAGAACTATCATTTCATACTAAAGTTCATTGCACAACCTTTTAGAGCTTTATTATTATTTAAATATACACAATTTCTTAATCATCTATAAGAGCAGTTTTCAAGGTGAAGTATACATAGAGAAGTTCATAAGACTTTCCAAGAGGTACAGGATTGTGGTATTTTTATAGAAACCAATTTTTAGATCATCAACTTCCATCCATTATCTTTCCTAAATGTATGTGCCTAAAAATACATCTGGGCTCAAGATGTCTTACTCTTCTCCACTGTATGACCCTGTCTCCTACTGTACCCAATACTGCTGTAATCTCATCTATGTGTTGTCTTAATAGGATGCATCTCCCTGGGGTGGGAAAACCTTCAGGACACCAAACAATGAGCCAGTTCAAAATACAGTCTCTGTGAATCCTCCTGAGTATACACTTGTTGTAGATGTTTTCCTTATTTTCCTGTTAAGAGTAAAGCTCTCATTAAAAATTAGGTCTTCTGGCCCATGTTTGGAATGTCTTGAATTCAAATATACTGTTGAGTGGATGACAGAGGTAATGGTTATTTTCATTTAAAACCCTCTTTCATTCGGGAATCTTGTCAAACAATGCTCCAGGTGGAGAGTTCATTTTGCCAATCATAAATGTGCTTGACCTTGATTCCCTCTTCTATCCCTCTATGTTCTATTATGCATTTTAAGGGAGTTAGGGCCCTGTTAACTATGTTTTCCACATTCCTTGGCCAGCTGACTTCTAGTTAAGTTTCTTCCATTAGAGGAACTCATAGGAAAAAGGAAAGCAGGAAGACAGAAAAAAAATACTTGGTTATGGTCTCTATAAACGTGTAAAGCTAAATGTTTAATAGTTTTTGTTTTTGTTTTTTGCAGTTCTAGTAGCTACAACACAGAACATTTATCTTAGCCTACCATCAGTGCTCAGACCCTCTCGAAGTTCCCAACACCTTCATGAATTTACCTTTCCTGGTTTCAGCACTGGCTCAACCCTCCATGATTCTAAGCACTGGTGACCCCATAGCCTACTATTCTTCCCTCAGCCTTAAGAATGATTATGCAGTTAAAATCTGGAATGTTTCTTTTTCCTCTATTCTGTTTTTTCAGGCCTTTTCACATCTGTGTAATCAATTACCTGCATTAAATTCTCTATGAGTGAATCCTGACTGACAAAGAGCAATGCAAAAAGAGCATCAATAAGAAAGATTGAAACTAGTGGCACCAGATATCATTCAAGGAGCAAACCCATATCTAAACTTCATGTCTTATTCATCCATCTATGTGAGATTTGTACAAAGTATACTGGGAGATTCAAATGTGCTGCAATGTCTGACATCTCTGCATTGTCATTATTCTCAGTAATGACAAAGAGCCTGGTGAATTGCTTCATTGAACCATGGCTCAATTTCATTTGCATATTTTGCATGATTTTAGGGAGAAGGAGTTGAAAATTTCCACACTTTATATCCAATATGCCAAAGCTAAATTTTGAAGTAAAACATATTGGAAGTAAGTTAAATATTTTCTTGAACATTTATTCAGGTTGAGAGGAGAAATATTTTGATTAACATTTATTAGTTAATTTACTTTTAATTAACTTTTACTAGTGTCCAATAATCAAATGATTAGTATCCAAGTGATTATTAGATACTAATAATTTATATTTTTTTCTTTATTTTTTGGCTAAGGTTTAAACATCAAGCTTGTTCTCATTCTTCAACCACTTCTGTTTACTTATTAATTGCTTGAGAGAAAAGTGTCTTGTCCAGTTTAAGCTTAATTCTTGCACCTATCCCTGGAAGGAAATTCCTTTTAATTACTTTGGGAAAATGTGTTCCCTTTTTTTTTTTTATGGCTGGAGTGCAGTGGCACGATCTCGGCTGACTACAACCTCTGCCTCCTTGGTTCAAGCGATTCTCGTGCCTCAGCCTCCTGAATAGCTAGGATTACAGGCATGCCACCATGTCCGGCTAATTTTTGTATTTTTAGTAGAGACGAGGTTTCACTATGTTGGCCAGGATGGTCTCAATCTCCTGACCTCATGATCTGCCCGCCTTGGCCTCCCAAAGTGCTGGGATTACAGGTATGAGCCACAGCGCCTGGCCTGTTTTTTACCTTTCAATTTTGAACTAGTTATTTGCCCTCAATATATAAATATACACCAATTTGTCCCAGCTAAATAATGAGACTGATGGCAATGATGGTAATGATGAAAATGAGCGTGAGATGATTACAAAATACCCTCCCTAGTCCTTTTATCATCCTCCTTTAATTATATTGATCCTTCTCTCAAGTTAAGCATTTGTTTTATAAGAGTTATTCATACTTGTGTCTCCATTATTTCATGTCCATGAAATTTGGTTTCCCCTTGCGCTTTCACTCTTTATGCTATTTTTTTCTTCTTTTATGACTTTTATTTTAGGTTCAGGTTTATTACATGTGCAGGTTTATTACATGGGTAAATTGCATGCCATTGAGGCCCGTTGTACGATGATCCCATCACACAGATATAGTGAACAAACTATCTTCATGCTATGTTAATTTGGCATACTGACAAGTTCCTTTTGGAATCATTTTCTCATGTGGCTTCCAAAACAACCTCATCTGCTGTGGATTGTTTTATTTTATTTCACCTCTGACATTTTCACTATAGTTCCTTCCAGGGCAACTTCTTCTATATTCACACTGAACATTTTTATATTTCCTAACATCTTCTCACATATTCTCCCCCACATCTATTTTCTCCATAAGCAATAAATTATATGTATGTTGAAGATTTTTAAATCTTTATATCCAGGCCAGGCCCCTGTATTCCATATCTGATTATTCAATTGCATGGTGATTATATCTATCTGGTTGCCCTTTGGCAATTCAAATTCTAAATATCTAACATCTAATTTATCATCATCACTTCAAAATCTGTACCTCCGTTTATACCCAACTGAGGGTCAAGACGCACCTAGTTGTCCTAATTTGAGGTATAGAAGTAATCCCTAATTCCTCTCTCTTCACTCTTTACTTAAAATAAGCACTATGCAGCCTCAATATTATTAAGATGTCAATTCTTCCCAACTTGATCTATAGATTTAACACAATTCCAATCAAAATCCCAGCAAATTACTTTGTGTTTATTGACAAACTGATTCTAGAGCTTGTATGAAAAGGCAAAAATCCCAAAATAGCAAACACAAAATTACATAAAAAGAAGAAAGTTGGAAGACTGACAAAAACCAATTTCAAGACTTACTATAAAGGTACAGTAATCAAGACAATGTGGTAATGGCAAAAGAACAGACAAATAGATCAATTGAACAAAATAGAGAGCCCAGAAATAGACTCAAATAAATAAGGTCCACTTATTTTTGACAAAGGAGCAAAGGATATTCAGTGGGGAAAAGACAGCCTTTTCAACAAATGGTAGAGGAATAATTGGGCATCCACATGCAAGAAAATGAACCTAGCCACTGACCTTTATGCCTTTCACAAAAATTATCTCAAAATAAATCATAGACCTAGATGTCATATCTAAGACTATTAAAGTTTTATAAGATAGCTTAGGAGAAAATCTATGTGATCTTCAGTTTGGCAATGAGTTTTTGTGTAGTCTGTCCATTGTAAAATGTATATGACATAAAAGTGTTGCCATTTTAACTTTTTTTTTTTTTTTTTTGAGATAGAGTCCCACTCTGTCACCTAGGCTGGAGCGCAGTGGCATGATCTAAGCTCACTGCAACCTAGGTCTCCCAGGTTCAAGCGATTCTCCGGCCTCAGCCTCCCAAACAGCTGTGGGACTACAGGCACGCCCCACCACTCTGCCTAATTTCTCTAGTTTTTGGTAGAGATGGAGTCTCACCATATTGGCCAGACTGGTGTCAAACTCCTGACTTCAAGTGATCTGCCCACCTTGATCTCCCAAAGTGCACCTAGCCCTATTTTAACTATTTTAAGAATACAATTTTATAGCATTAAATATATTCACATTTTTGTGTTGGCAATCAGTTTTTAGATGCAACACTAAAAGGACAATCCGTGAAAGAAAAAATTAATAAGTTGATTTTTATTAAAATGAAAAACTTCTACTCTGAGAAAGAAACTTAAAATTAAGGAAAGATAAGCTACAGACTGAGAGAAAATATTTGCAAAACACATATGTGATAAGACTTTTATCTAAGCCATACAAACAATTCTTAAAATGCAACAATAAAAATACAACTAAAAAGTGTGAAAAACTCTCAACAGACAACTCACTAAAGACATTCATGTGGCAAATAAGCATAAGAAAAGATACTCAACGTTATCTGTCATTACAGAGCTACAAATTAAAACAACAAGGCAATACTACACACCTACTAGAATGGCTAGAATCCAGAACACTGACACGAAATGCTGGAGAGGTTGTGGAGCTACAAGAACTCTCAGTCATTGCTGAAGGGAATGCAAATTCATACCAGCCACTTTGGAAGACAGTTTGACAGTTTCTTACAAAGTGAAATAAAACCCTTAGCAAATGATTCAGCATTCATTCTTTGATCTTTGTCCAGGTGAGTTTAAAAATACTTTTATGTCCATACAAAAACCTTCACACAAATGTTTATAGCAGCTTTATTCATAATTGTCAAAACTTGGAAGCAACCAAGATATTCTTCAATGGTTGGAGATAAACTGTGGTGTATCCAGCCAACAGAATATTATTTAAAAATGACAAGAAATGAGCTACCGAGCCATAAAAAGACATGGAGGAAACTTAGAATCATATTACGAAGTGAAAGAAGGCCATCTGTAAAAGCTGTATATTATATGATTCCCACTATATGACAACCTTGAAAAAGAAAAACTATAGAAACAGTAAAAAGATCAGTGGTTGCCTGAGATTTAGGGTGGTGGTGGGAGGAGAGGAGAGATGAATGAAAAAAAATAGTAGATATTTAGGGCAGGAAAACTATTCTGTACAATACTGTAACTGTAATGGTTCACATATTATATTGTGCATTTTTGTTTCTCTACATTCCATAAAATTGAATAATACAAAGACTGAAACCCGATGTAAACTATTGACTGTAGTTAATAATGTATCAATTTTGGTTCATTAATTGTAACAAATATACCACATTAATTCAAGATGTTAATAATAGGAGAAACTCAGGCAGCATTTAAGAAAGCATATAGAACCCTCTATACTTTCTGTTCAACTTTTCTGTAAACCTAAAATTACTATGAAATATAAAGTATATTTGTTTTTAAAGTCTTTGAGCTGTCACTTATATCTGTCTCCTTAACTCTGTTCATGCTGACACTCCCTTTGTCCAGAACCACATTATTCCTTTTCCACATTGCTGTGATAGCTCTCTACCTAGTTAACTTGACTTTGGTTCATTCAACTCAAACCCATCTACCACATTGCTTCCAAAATGATGTTTTTAAATTGCAAATTTTACCATGGTACTTCCCTGTTTAAACTCTGTGAGGACCTCTCATCAGCTCACTAGATAACCTATCTGGTTTCTCATGAATTAGTATTATTGAACTACTGTAATTAGTTTTCTGAATATACTATATTGTATGGCAGTTTTGTTGTGCTATACAACACACCTGGTACACCTCCTGGTGACTCACCTTTACCTAGCACCCCACCTACCACTGAAAATTTTCTGAAACATTATCCTTTCCTGTCTGTACTCTCGTTTTTTTCTCAATTCTATTTTGGAATCACTGGTTTTATCATCTGCTGCCATAACAAACTGGTGGTCTCTTCAAAGGCAAATGCTGTGTATTTTTGTCTTTTTTTTCCCTCAACTGCATATCCACCTTCATATTACTGGGACCTAAAACAGAGTTTGGCCCAAATAGTTATATAATGCATTTACTTTCAACATATAAATAAGTTAAAAGTGTATCAGGTGAGATGAATTATGCACTAGTAAGACATATAAACTCACTTTAGGAGTAGAGTGACAAAATAAAATATTTCATCTCCCAGAAAAGAGCAAAATAAAAATTCAACTAAAGGCTAACAAAATAGAAGGTCAGAGGTGCTACTGATTTTTGAAAAAGAGAGTAGAATGATTTAAGCTATGCTTAAAGAAGATTAATTAGGCATTTGAGTAAAGAGGGAATGAAAGAACAATGTGATGAAGACTAATTTCCAGACTTCAGCAGTAATGCAAAAATGTGGGAATGAGAGTCTGTGAAAGAGAAGTTACCAAGAAAATGAAATCAAAATGTGGAAAACTGATGAATTTCAATTATTCCTAGTAACTGGGTGCAAAGGGCTGTGTTATGGCCCAAATCTGCCTAGGAGATCAACAGCCAGCATTGGGACAATTGACAGCTTGCAGAAACCTTGGCAGAGAAAGCCATTCTCATTGGAATGACAGAGTAAATTTAAAATAAATTAACATCATGATATAAAATTTAATGTGAAGTTTGAACATTTTGGCTATTCTCATAACTCTTCAAGAGAACAAGTAGTTCTTTACTATCTCATGGTATTCTCATTATTATCTCAATGTGCTTGTGTAACGAATAGACAGTAAAATACATTGCAAGCATTATGTTTCCATTTAAAATAGGTTGGTAAATTAAACAGAACCATGTTGTCAAATCATTTGCCATGATCCAAGTATTTTCCTGGTAATTACAAGTAATGCGTGATTTATTCTAGGTCTATTAGATTTAAAAAATTTTTCTCCTTTATTGATGTTCTCTTACTAATTATACCCAAACATGATTTACTTCATCCCTATTAATAGATTATAACTATTAGTTGGACTTTTTTCCCCTCCAATACTAATGACACAGCTCTGCATGAAAGCCTGAACTTATTAAATATATATGCAGTTTAAATGCAACAGAAATTCAGGAACTAATTTTCTTTTCTTCCTCTGGTGTTTTCAAGCAATGTATTTCTCCTTTTTAGCCTGAATTTTATATAGGTTAACCTTTCTAACTCTTGCCCTTTTGCTTACCACTTATTTTTTTGTGAGCACTCTTCTTGATCTTCAGTCATTTCTTCTCTACTTTTCACACTTATTTCTTCTTTGTTCCCTTGCAATTTGTCTCCTGCCAGGCCTTCTACAGAAATGTTTCTCTAAAAGGTCACCATTGACCTAGATCTTGCCACATCCAATAGGATCAGTTTCCTTTGCCTTTTGTCATGTCAGAGAGACCATTAAACGTGTTGCATTGCTACTGTATTTCCAAATAAGATCACTTTTCCAGAGATGACCTGTGAGATTGTTCAAAGAGAGTGAAATCATTCTAGAATAATAAAAAGTTTCTAAAAGTGAGGCTCTTTTGAGCTAAGGTCTGAAAACTATTCTATAATATAAAAAGTAAGATACTTTTCCTTCCCTCCTCATGTATGTAGATGGCCAGTCATGATCTGTCTTTCATTAGAAGCCAGTGACTCCACAACTTCTTCCTCTCTCTGTAGCAGAGAATACCCAGAAGAATCAGCCTCCAAGCCTATGTTCTTCCCTCCGTGTACTTTCTGTCGAGATAAAAGCCACCTATCATCACTCCCTAGCAGGTGGAAGAAAAGAAAAAAAAAAAAGCAGCTAATTATATAACTTCATAACTAATGCCCACAAAGAGGTTAAAAGGAGGAAAATCATCAAACTGTTCTAATCTTAAGTTGTTTTTGCCTACATGTCCTGTTTTTCATACAGTAAAACTGCATTCTATTACCAATCGGTTCAGATGTTTCATGATTGCTTTCTCTTCCCTCTGTGGTTCAGCCCCCTTTGACTTCCTGGCTGTGACAGTCTTAGGAGATTGAGACATTTCCTTCTTTAGCTTCAGGCTTATGGCCCACAGTACAACTTTTTAATGCTCATCTCTTCTTTGTAGTCAGGCGACCTTCCGGGAAGGACCCACTGTTTCTCTCAATTCCCCAGCCTGCATAGAACCCAAAGGAAATTCAGAGAATACCCCCCATGCCGCTTAGTAATAGCGGTGAAGTTTTGGAAATTGTCTGTGGCTCTCTAAGCTTGTTCTTTTTGTATGGATTATGTCTGAGACATAGGATACAACTCCATTGTTCTATAAACACTTTCAAGGAAATTATCATTCTTTTCAAGCCACCCAGATTCATCGGGTAAAGGAAAAGAATGCACATACACTGATTCTCTCCAGTTGAAGGGTCAAATATCTTGTTTGACAGGAAGAGAAATGCTGGTTTTTCCTGTTCACATGTATCCGCTAATGAGTTTATAATTTCTGTCTTTTAGACTTAGAATCCTAAAAAGATGTGAAGTTATTATTCTCAGCTACGGATAATTCCTAAGGCACTAAGAGTATCCCCATAGATTTGCTAAGAAAGGAGTGTTGGTGGCTGAAATAGGAAAGCTGGAAAATACTCATCAATTTATATTTTACAATCCACTCCATTATAGATATCTCAAACATATGGAAACTATTACTAATGTATCTAGCAGCAGTGATTACATAAATTCATGTAAAAGGATCATTAAATTTATAATTCATCACTATATTCTCAAATCACACACATTAAAATAACTATCATCATGCATGATATCAAAAAGTTATTCTAAATATCAAAAGAATAATAAACTACTCCACTATTATAATCTAAAACTTTATGAATACATTATAAATAAAAAGTGGTTTACTTATTAACTAATATGTAAAACTACCAGGGCAATTTCCAATTGGAATATGTTCTTGAAGAATTCATTCATTTTCTTCACTTCATTTTCCCTTTAATAACTGTGCCTTTAACAACTGTAATAACATCTCCATAGATGTTCTTTATCTGAGTTTCAGTACTGTATTTACAACTCCTGTTAAATATTTCTGTGAGTCACATAGCTGTCAAATCCTTACAGCTCCAAAACCAAATTCATCATCTTACTCCCTCCAACAACATGCTGTCCTCAGTTTATTCAAAGATATAATGTATCTCCTACTTGAAAACATGGGATATTCTCTGTTCTGCCACTCCAGTTCTTCCTCCATATTAGCTTGGTCTTGTTTTTGTATTCTAAAACATATCACTTACCTATCTCTTTATTCACAGATTTCTCTAGCCATCCTCCCAATCCAGTCTGTTTTAAACCTTAGGCCTACATTGCTACAGGATTTTTCTATGTTGTCTTCCTACCTTCTAGTTCCTTTTGGTGGAAGTAAGGGACTTTCTTAAAGAATGGCTTCTTCTAATTGTATTTCTTTTCATTAGATTGTAATAGTATTATCAATTCTTCATTCAGAAGTGTAATAGATCAATATGGATCCATTTTTCTCATCTAACTCTCCAATTTCTCTCTACACAAGCCATCAATCTCGGGCTAGTTTCCAAAAGCATTCATTACTATATCACCCAGTTTAAAACACAGAGGATCTAGCACATAATACTAGAAGTCATTACTAATTCTGTAGTATAAACACTGGTGCCCAATCTTTTAAAGTATAAAAAACTCCTTTAAATATGTAAAGTTTCACAGACCAGCTCAGGATAATGGCTATGCTTTTAGCACATGTTGACTGAGAAAACAAAAACATGTAACAGTAAGTGATATATCACAAATCTTTGAAATTTTCTTTGAATTCATACATCTTACAAGTTTTTCTTGAGTACCCATAGATGCTGGGCTCCATGCCACACACTAGGTGTAAAACAGGGAATAGTACTGACACCATCTCTGCCATTTGGAACTTATATTTTATTTGTAAGTGCTTTTAAATAAATGTATGGATCTTCCAGAGAGCTGAACACATGGGTGTCCCTAGAGGGTGTTGTACCTGAGGAAGCATGGAAGCTCCATGACTCTTCTTGCAGACCACACCCTATGCATCTCTTCATCTGTATGTTTTGTAATATCCTTTGTAATGAAACAGCAAATATAAGTGTTTCCCTGAGTTCTGTGAACCACTACATCAAATTAATTGAACCTAACAAAGGGGTCATGGGAACCCCAACATGAAGCTGGTTGGTTAGAAGTTTCAGAGGTCTGGCTGGGCTTGCTACTGGTATCTGGGAATGTCAGAGGTATCCTTGGGGACCTGTGAGATCAGAAACTATTTCCAGGTAAATACTGACAAAACTGAATTGGGGAACACCCAACACGTGTGTGTTGCTTGCTGTGTGAGACGAAAGCCCCGTACCTTTGGTTACATAAGTCTTCTGTGTTGATGATGGTTATAGTTGTGTGAGAGTGGAGGCAAACATGGGTTGAGATAGTTTTCCCCTACCCAGTTGGTGTCAGTGAAGTTGGATTTGCTGGACTGGCCCACGGTCAAGGAAACATATGGGCTGGGGAAAGAATGCATATAAGGGTAGGGAATAAAAAACCTCAAATTCCTGGGTGGCCATGTGGTCACCCATGGTATGAAACAACAACTGTGCTTTAGTTCAGTTACTAAAGTTAAAAGCTATCCATGGAATTTAGAGATAAATCTGACTCCCAAGGAGTCCGTTCATTGGATGCATGAGGAAATGCAAACTAATAAAAAAGTGAAATGTTTAATTCCTTGGTTATTGTTATCTATAACAGTTACAATGAAATTAAAAGAGAGTGCTGGGTCAAGCCTTAAGACTGGACCATGCTCAGATATGAGTCTTTCTGAGCTAGACTCAGAGACAACCCCTGAAGGGCAGAATTATACAGAGACAACAGAAACTACCTCTGAGACCTGTGGTTACTAAGAAGGTAGTAAATGTAGGAGAAGGGCAAAACCAAGTAACCATTGAAATCAGAAGGTATAGTTTAAGCGAATTGTTCCATTCTTTAGATTGGTATCATCAGCTTCCTGAGAAACCTTTACTAAAATGGGTTGTGAGTAACTAATTTGGCAGCAGTGTCTTTAGTTTTTTATGCTGCACAGTAGAAGAACATGTTTGCGTTGACTCAGGACAAACAGCTCACTACTGAACAATCACAGATAAGTATTTGATTCCTGCAGAATCAAGTAGCAGTTCCAGAAGCATTGTCAAATTTATGGCCTCAGAGTCACCTCACAGATCTTACAAATATTAATAAAAACATTAGGCTAATTAACAAGAGAAGAGTGAAGGATAGAGCAGAGAATCAAAGGACTCATCCCAAGAAGGTGGAAAAAATTTAAAGGTTATTTAAAAATAAGGTAAATAAAGAAAACATTGATAGAGGTGAAAATAAGAGGGAAAAAAAGGAGAGAGTCATGGGACTTGTCCCAACAGAAAAATAAGGTGACATGACAACTGATACCAAAGAAATATGAAACATCATCAGAGACTACTATGAACATCTCTATTCACACAAACTAGAAAACTTAGGGAAAATGGATAAATTTCTGGAAACACACAAACTCCCAAAATTGAACCAGGTGGAAATATTAATAGAAACCCTGAACAAACCAATAATGAAGAAGAACATTGAATCAGTAGTAGAAAAATCTCCCAACAAAAAATGCCCAGGACCAGATAGATTCACAGCTGAATTTTACCAGGTGTATGAAGAAGAGCTGGTGCCAATCTTACTCAAACTATTTCTAAGAAATTGAAGAGGAGAGATCCTTTCCTAACTCATTCTATGAATCCAGTATAACCCTAATAGTAAAATCAGGCAAGGACACAACAACAAAAAAAGACAACTACAGGCCAATAACCCTGATGAACATAGATGCAAAAATCTTCCACAAAATACTAGCAAACTGAATCCAACAGTACATCAAAAAGACAATTCAGCATGATAAAGAGGTCTTTATTCCAGGGATGCAAGGATGGTTCAGCAAATGCAAATCAATTAACATTGTCCACTATATAAACAATGCTGAGAACAAAAACCATATGGTTATCTCAATTAGATGCAGAAAAAGCATTTAATAAGATTAAACATGCCTTCATGATTAAAAACCCTCAACAAACTAGCTGTACATAAAACACCTCAAAATAGTAACAGCCATATATTTCAAACCCATAACCAATGTCATACTGAATGAGGAACAGTTGAAAGCATTTCCTCTAAGAATTAGAACAAGACAATTATGTTTGCTCTCACCACTCCTATTTAACATAATAATGGAAGTCCTAGCCAGAGCAATCAGGCAGGAGAAAGAAATAAAAGGAATCCAAATTGTAAAGAGGAAGTCAAAGTTCTCTATTCACTAATAACATAATTATATACCTAGAAAACCCTAAAGACCTCTTTAGAAGACTCACAGACCTCAAGATACAGAAAGTCTCAAGATACAAAATCAGCAAACAAAAATCAGTAGCACTTCTGTACACCAATAGCATTCAAGGTGAAAACCAAATCAAGAACTTGATCCCTTTTACAGTAGACACACACACACATGCACACACACAAAATACCTAGAAATACATTTAACCAAGGAAATGGAATATCTCTACAAGAAGAACTACAAATCACTGATGAAATAAATTATGAATGACACAAATAAATGGAAAAATACCCAATGTTCATTGATTGGAAGAATCAATATCATTAAAATAACCACATTACCCAAAGCAACCTCTAGATTCAATATAATTTCTGACAAATTACCAACATCATTTTTCTCAGAATTTGAAAAAACAATTTTCAAGTTCATAGCAGAAAAAAAAGAACCAGGAAAAAAAAAAAGCCTGAATAACCAAAGCATTCCTAAGTTAAAAGAACAATTCTGGAGACATTGCATTGCCTGATTTCAAATTATACTACAAGTTTATTATAACCAAACACCACAGTATTGGTAAAAAAAAAAAAAAAAAAAAAAAAAAAAAAAAAAACAGACACATAGGTCAATGGAATAGAATAGAGAACCCAGAAATAAAACCACTGTCTATAACCAACTGATCTTTGATAATGTCAACAAAAATAAACAATTGGGAAAGGACATCCTATTCAATAAATGGTTCTGTGAAAACTGGCTAGCCATATGCAGAAGAATGAAGCTGGACACCTATCTCTCACCCACCATATACAAAAATTAATTCAAGATGGATTAAACACCTAAATGTAGGACCTGAAACTATAAAAATATTAGAAGAAAACCTAGGAAAATATTGTCTAGACATTGGCCTAAGCAAATAATTTATGACAAAGACTCCAAAAGCAAATCTAACTAAACCAAAAATAGACAAATAAAATTTAAACTAAAAAGCTTCTGCATAGCAAATGAAGTAACCAGCAGAATAAACAGACAACCTACAGAATGGGAGAACCTGTTTACAAATTATACCTCTGACAAAGGACTAATATGCACAATCTACAAAGAACCCAAAACAACTCAAGATGCAACAAACAACCCCATTCAAAACTGAGCAAAGGACATGAACGGGTATTTCTCAAAAGAAGAAACACAAGCGACCAACAAACACATGAAAAAACGCTCAACATTACTAACCAGAGAAATGCAACATCTATACTGAGATATCATTTTATACCACTCATAATGGTTTTTATTAAAAAGTAAACAAAACAAAACAAAACAGAAAAACAAACATTGGCACAGATATGAAGAAAAAGGAATGCTCACATACTGTTGGTGGGAATGCAAATTAATTCAACCTCTATGGAAAAAACAGTTTGGAAATATCTCAAAGAACTAGCAATAGAACTACTATTCTATCCAGCCATCCTTCTACTGAATATCTACCCAAAGGAAAGGAAATCATGTAAAACCGACACCTGCATTCACATGTTTATCACAGCACCATTTACAATAGCAAAGTCATGGAATCAACCTGTGTCCCCAATGGTTGATTGGATTAAAAAAATGTGGTGTATATATACCATGGAATACTACACAGCTATAAATGAATGGAGCTGGAGGCCATTATCCTAAGTGAACTAACACAGAAGCAGAAAATCAAATATTGCATGTTCTCACTTATAAGTGGGAGCTAAACAAAGGGCACACATGTAGATAAAGATGGAAGGAATAGACTCTGGAGACTCTAAAAGGAGGGAAAAAGGAAGGGGGATGAGGATTAAAAAATTACCTATTGGGTATAATATCCAACACTTAAATAATGTGTACACTAAAAGCCCAATCCCTACCATTAAGCATGTAATATCCATGTATAAACAAGCACTTGTATCCCCGAATCTAAAACAAATAAATGAATACATAAATAAATTTGTAATATCATATATAAATTAAGTGTGAAAAGAAAGGTAGTTTTTACATTACCTTTACATCAGTTACTTATAATCAATTATTCCTGATTTTACGTAATAAAACTAGTAAAATTTTGTATGCTTTTTAGGTTGTGAGAAATTGAATTTTTCACACCTTTTATAAATGTGAGTTAGACTTCTTTATAGTCTTAAAAGTGAGAAATAATTAATATATTTTATTACCATAAGTAGATCCAATTTTATATTTTAAACAGGAGTAGCCGTTTATGTTCATCATTAAAACTACACTGTATATCAAATAGAGAATATCACTTTGAGAGTTTTATAAAAATAGAAATATTGTCATAAATGAATATATCTGATAAGTATACAAAATATTCACTTCTGATACTTCTGTTTGAATGCCAACCTCGCCAAATTGGTGATATGCACACCATGAAAATAGCTCAAAGCTAAACATGCCTGCCGGAGGAACTGTTTTATATAATGAATACAGATTATGGAGTTTTGCCATAGTGCCCATGAGTAAATGAAATGCTCTTGAATCAGACTGTGTGCACTAAAACTGCTACATTAAATGATTTCTTTTGAAATTGCATTGCTTTTTGAATTACATTAATGAATTTCAGTTTGAAGAAAAATGATGACAATAGAATGTATCATTTCTTTTTGTGGGTGGTTTGGTATGAATTACATTTGGTTTTCCAATGGAACAGAGGTTAAATATATACATACCTGTGTATATACACATACACACAGACACACACACACATATAACCTTGAAACTTCATTTTTATATTATGGTTTCTTTTAATTATTTAATATTTTTGAGTACATAGTGGGTATATGTATTTATGTAGTATGTGAGATAATTTGTTACAGGCATACAATGGAATATTCCATTAATGAATTTAAGTTTGAAGAAAAATGATTAAAATAGAACATATTCATATCTCTTTATGGGTGACAATATGAACCACATTTATATTGTGAATGTGTTTGCCATTTGTGTGTCTTCTTTTAAAAAATGTCTATTTAGGTCTTTTACCCATATTTAATCAGATTATTAGATTTTTTCCTATTGAGTAGTTTGAACACCTTATATATTATTGTAATCAATCTTTTGTCAGAGAGATAGTTTGCAAATATTTTCTCCCATTCTATAGGTTGTCTCTTCACTTTGTTGATTGTTTCCTTTGCTGCACAGAAGGCTTTTAACTTGATGTAATCCAATTTGTTCATTTTTGCTTTGGCTGCCTGTGTTTTTGGGGTAGTACTCAAGAAATCTTTGCCCAGATCAATGTCCTGGAGAAGTTCTCCAATGATTTATTGTAGTAGTTTCATAGTTGGATGGCTTCGATTTAAGTCTTCAATACATTTTGATTTGATTTTTATAAATGGTAAGTGATATGGGTCTAGTTTCATTCTTCTGCATATGGATATCCAGTTTTCCCAGCACTATTTATTGAAGAGACTGCCTTTTCCCCAATGTCTGTTCTTGGCACTTTGGTAGAAAATGAGTTCACTGTAGATGTATGGATTTACTTCTGGGTTCTCTATTCTGTTCCATTAGTCTAAAAAATATGGTTTCTTGTCATTTTTCCCAAGGGAAAAACTGTCAATAAAATACATGTGTTTGAAACACTCATTTAATTAATCTGAGGTTTCTGAAATACACCTTGTTAACCTCTACCTAGGTTCTAGCCTTAGAGATTTACCTCTTCTTTCAGATGAGCCATATGACCCAATACCTAAAAGATTGAAGCCTCTCCAAGATCAAGGATGGTACCAGTCTGGGTATCAACATGAAGTCACTCTTGTTGTTAGTTCAGTCCAGTCCTCACTGTCACCCAGTATTGTCCTGAGCTGCTTCTGTATTACATCTCATCTCTAAGCCTGACCTTTGTCTTTATGAGTTACCTAATACTTCTAGAACTAAAGTTTGCCTTATTCTTACAAGTTCACCTAGATGGGATGATGGCTTACCTCAAAACCCCAACACAACCGTTACTGAGAAATTTCCCTATGTAGAGCTCTAAAAACCCCCAAATTGTGGACATGACTTTTGAACTCTTGATCACCATGCCTATCAATTGCAACATTTCCATTATGGTGGTTTGATATCCATGAAGCCCACCGTCTACCTGAACTGCGAACTCCTCTTGTTTGTCACATTAGAACATCATATTCCTTTCACTGAACTGGACCTTTTCCCAGCCCCTAGAGGTGCATCTATTTCTTAGTGGCTGCTGCTTCCCAGTGAGCAGGTGGATTTTAAACCATGTACCCAAACTGTGAAACATGTGGACTTCTATTGTAACATTTTTGGGAAAATAATTTTTGCTTTACATTATTTTTTCTTCCCCTTTTATTATATATTTGTATATAGCTGTCCTTAGATCATCCTTTCAAAGAAAGAGCTCTAGATTTCAAGTTATGATATAGTAGTGAGTTGGAAGTTCCACAGGTTTTAGCTCTGTAATCTCACCTTCTGGAGGTGTCCTCAAGGATGAAATCATCACAGCCAAAATTAGCCTTTTTATTTTTCTTAAACATTCCATTCCCATGCCACCTTTAAGGTGTGTGTGTATGTGTGTGTGTGTGTGTGAATATATGTTATTCAAATAGGTACATATATAATATATATATAATATATAATATATATAATATAAATATTCAAACGTATATAATTGTACTGCACTGTTGAATTATAGTTTTCATTCAAGATTTCATTTCAGTTTGCTTGTTAAAACAACACAACCTACTTTTCAGTAAGAAATTTTCATCTTATGACCAGGTATAAAAATACAAAATTTAGTGAAGTTTAGGCAGGTACTTGAGCTTATAAACAAATAAATGCATATTAACTTATTTATTTTGGCAGTTTACAGTTCAGAGTCATTAATTCATCTCCTTCATCCCCATTTAAAAAGAAATAAGGAATGACAAGTTTTAGATAAGATGAGGCAAATGTCATGTAGGAGCAGCACAGAGTTTAAAGTTAGAATGAAATTTGAATCCAAAGTTATTTAAGAACTCTATAACCTTAGCATTGTTTTTTGTTTGTTTCTTTGTTTTTAGCTACTCCTCATCTCAGTTTCTTCATTAAAAAAAGTTGTTATGGGCCGGACGCAATGGCTCACGCCTGCAATCCCAGCACTTTGGGAGGCTGAAGTGGGAGGATCACGAGGTCAGGAGTTTCAGACCAGCCTGACCAACGTTGGTGAAACCCCATCTCTACTAAAAATACAAAAATTAGCTGGGTGTGGTGGCACGCACCTGCAATCCAAGATACTCAGGAGACTGAGGTAGGAGAATTGCTTGAACCCCGGGAGGCAGAGGTTGCAGTGAGTCAAGATCATACCACTGCACTCCAGCCTGGGCAAAAGAGCAAGACTCTATCTCAAAAAAAAAAAAAAAAATTATGATGATGCTTTTTGCCTTGCACTGAATTTGTAAGGATAACATGGTGATTAAGAACATGGATTCTGAAGCAAAAACTGCCAGGGTTTGAATCCAGGCTCTTTTTCTAATTGTGTAGAGCCTTACACAGCTTACTTAACTTCCTAGTCTCCCCATCAATAAAAGAAAATGTTAATTGTTCCTACCTTAAAGAAATTTTATAAATTATATGTAAAGTGCTTAGGTCTGTATCCAAGCTAGTGCACGATAAGAATGTGCTAAACATTATTATGTTATTATATAGCTTCTGAATATGTATTTTACCTGCTAGGTAAATGACAGCTAAGCAATATGACATAATAAGCACAACCTTATCAAAGTAGATAATTGTACTAAGACAAGCAGCTTATAGAAAAAAGCAGGTGATGCATTTGTAGGAAAATGAAATGAATTTGCAGAAAGAAGATTCATTATAAAATAAATCAGAGTTTGCATCTTTGTGGGCTTTCCAACTCAAGAAACCCTCTCACAAATTTAAGCAAATGAGAATATTTCTACAGTAACATAATCAGAGTCCTGTATTATAATTTTTTAATGTTTTGATAGGTATTTCATCACTTTCAAAATACACACTATTATTATATTTCTATTAATTTCTTGTTAGGTTTTATTTGAGTTGATAGCTTTAGTGATTTTTCCATAATAACTTTCAAACCATATAATGATTGAACTGCTGATTCATTATTCTATTTAAGAAATAGTCTCCAGCTTGGTTCTTCGCTCTTAAATTATTTAATATTTGCCTTCATTTAAAATGATTTGGTGCCTGTTGGCACTCTTACTCAAAACTTCTCCTTGAATCAGTTTTCATTGCCTTTCATTATTTTCTCTGATTTCAATTCCAGCTTAATTTGCAGACTCAAAAATTTTATTTCAATGCCTTCATCCAACACATTTATGTATATTACAAACATCCACACTGCAGAAATTGATCTGTGAGCCATGTACAAGTAAATTCGGGCTTCCTGTGAAATGAGCCAGCAAGAAAGAGTCACAGAAACATAGTTCATTCTGAAGTAGTCACAACAGTTCTCAAAGCACTTTAGGCAAGTGAGGGACGGGGATTGCAGAAAGCAAGATGAGGTGTGGTCTGTCCAGAGATGCAGCTGCACGTATCCCATTAATTTTCGTTGGGGATTCAACATGAACCTGAATACAGGATTTAGCCTGAATCAATCTGTGAGGATTTCAGGAAGTTAGCCCTGGAACTGAAAATGACTTTCTGGATAAGCAGAGATTAAGGATCAGAAATGCTAGGAATGAAACCTAGGGAGGGAATAATTCAACATTACAGGTGTGAGGATGATCTAAGGACAATGTCTACAGAGAAGGTTTACAGCTCACCGAAGTGCCAGTTTCATTGCATAATTTTAACCTTATTTTATTTTGTGTAGACATAGTTCCCTAGAAAGGGCCTATCATTTGGCCACTTGCAATAAAAATAAATAAACTTAGAAAAAACAACACATAATGAAAATTACTTCGATGAGGAGTGCAACAGAAAGCCCATGTTCAAAAATATCAATGAGTTAGACAATCTAATGATTTAAAAAACAAAGAAAAGATTATGACATCTGTTTTTGAAATATCATGCATATCACTTTGAACTGGATTATCGTAAAATCAGGAACTGGGAAAAACATCTATCCAAGTAATAACGTGGACAGCAATGACTGCAAATATATGATCTCTCACACTACAATAAACAGATCACTTTTGAGTCGAAAGCAACCACTAAAAACAACCAAAGAAGGCTCTAAGCAAGGCCAGCAAAGAGGAGCATTTGATAAGAATCATCAGTCACATCAGTCTCGGGATCAACTCTTCCACCTGGTTCCCCTCCAGTCCTGGGGCAACTCTTTCCTTTATGATTATTCTCTACCTATTAAACTTTCTCTCAGCCCATTCTTCCCTAGTGACACTGAATTTCCACACTTACATTCTGATCCTACTTGTATTGTCAGAGCTGCCATGCATCATCACAGTGTTCAGTTTTAACATTAACTTGTCTAGTCACACCATAGATTGATCCATTTCTCATCTGCTGAGGTACTGATTTTCTTTTTTTTTTTTTTTTTTAAATGGAGTCTGGCTCTGTCACCCAGGCTGGAGTGCAGTGGCGTGATCTCCACTCACTGCAAGCTCCGCCTCCTGGGTTCACGCCATTCTCCTGCCTCAGCCTCCCGAGTAGCTGGGACTACAGGCACCCGCCACCATGCCCGGCTAATTTTTTTTTTATATTTTTAGTAGAGACGGGGTTTCACCATGTTAGCCAAGATGGTCTCGATCTCCTGACCTCGTGATCCGCCTGCCTTGGCCTGCCAAAGGGCTGGGATTACAGGCGTGAGTTGATTTTCAAACTCAGTTCTATAGAGATGCACTGTTGATGAGTTCTATAGAGAAGTTCTAGGGGAGTGGCAAAGGTTTAACTAAAAATATTTTTGTATCTATTTTTAAAGAGTTTAAAAACTTAACAGGAAACAAATGTAAATGCAAATATTTTATACCAAATTTTGACTTGTTGGGATTCTCATTTGTTAATTTTTGCAATTATCTGATAATTTAGTTTTACGCTAAACTAGTAACAGAGTTTTTCCTGTGTTCCCATTGCATATATGTATACCTTCACAAATTTATTATTAAACATACTGATGATTTACACTGACCTGTGTTATGTTTTAGACTTGTGCATGACTACATAATCACTAATCCAAATGCCAGACAAGGTTCAGATGTATCTTATCAATGTATGCTCTCATTTTGTTA
The DNA here is from genome assembly GCF_000001405.40 of Homo sapiens. NCBI lineage: Eukaryota > Metazoa > Chordata > Mammalia > Primates > Hominidae > Homo > Homo sapiens. The sequence continues at coordinate 89,095,466 of NC_000007.14, read as the reverse complement.
TAATTGTCTCTTGCACAGTTACATAAAATACAACACTGTCTTAGTTTGTGTACTACAACTGATTACCACAGACTGGGTAATTTACAAAAAAATAAATGTTTATTTCTCACAGTTCTAGAGGCTGGGAAGTCTAAGGTCAAGTCACTGGCAGGTTGTGTGTCTGGCAAGGGCTGCTCTCTGCTTCCAAGATGGCATTTTGTGACCGCATCCTCCAGAGGGAAGAAATGCTGTGTCCTCACACGGTGGAATGGGCAAAAAAGACAAAGCCTCTCCATCAAATCCCTTTATAAGGGCATTTAGTCTCATTAATGAAGGTGGAGGGCTCATGCTTCTATCACCTCCCAAAAGCCACACTTCCTACTACTATTTCATTGGGGATGAAGTTTCAACATGAATTTTGGAGGCAACAAAAACATTCAAACCATAGCAAAAACATTGTATCACAAGAAGAGCACATTATAAGAGTTTTCATGTTCATATTCTTGGGGGTAATACTTACATTTTAACTTTCGTATTTATTGAAAATAAATGAAGACCATGATAGATATTGCTAGGGACTCAACTTTAAAACAAATATGATTTTCTGCTGTTCCCCTCCAAAGTTACTCAATCAGTTTTAATTGAATCAAATCCTGACACGGTAAGGCAACTATTCTTTTTAGGTCTATTTCCATATGTAATGACTTTTTAATGTGAATAGGTTTATCAATACTTGCATAAGCAAAATAAAGAATTTAACTGAAAATTAATCATCATTTTTGTTTTGAAAAAGTCTACAAACTGAAAAAAAAATGTATAAACAACTCTTTGGTTTTCATCAGAAACACACTGTAGCAAAGGAGAAGAGTTTCCATCAATCAGGGTAGGAAAACTACTGCATCTCAGCGACTAACGTATTAAAATTCCAGGATTTTTTTTTAAAAAAGTGAGTGTACCCATATCTTCTCCAATATTTGTTTTATGGACAGCAGTGGAGGCAATTTCATATGACTCAAACAGGAAAGAGCAGACAATTCAATGTTTAGTAGGCGTAAGAAAGGTAGACTTTCTCAGCATTTAGGAAACCTCAAAAAGACAACTGGAAAGAGTTCCTGATATGGCATATTTTAAAGAAAGTAAATGTATATATACACACACACATACAGAGGTTAAATAAACATTTGAAAACAAAGTCACAGTACTGATTCAGAAGAAGGGAGATAATGATTTATACAGGCATCGTGACATTGGTTCAACAAAGTAAAATCTTTGTTACTTGAGATTTTTAGAACTTTTAGAATGAACATGTGACCTAAATGGCCTAGAATGATATCTACAATTCAATAGCTTGCAATAAATATTAGCCGCATCTTCATTTTTCTGTCCTCCCAAATGTTTGACAATAGTATAAAGTGTTTGTAAGGTCTTTGACTAAAATCTTTCTATTTGTATATGGAATTATTGCCTAAAGACATTTAACTAGCTAACAGTAGGTCACCTATCCTGGTGGGCTTCTGAGCCCTGTGAACTCAGGGTAAGCTGCCAATCAGTAGTGAAGGGAGCTATCCCACAACAATTTGAGTGGTTTCTCAAAGTTCTAACTCACTTCCAGGTAAATTGTGGTCATTTGCTTGAATGCCTGAGCTAAAATATGTTTCAGTATCTGAACTAGTAAATGACCAACCTTGGATAATTGGACCTTTCTATACCTGTTGAAGGGGGTCCTCCCCAAGGAAACCTGCAAAATAATTTGGCAGTTCCTTCAGACACATGGACTTCAATGCATAGAAGTCTGCAGATTGAACGTTTTCTTGGCCAAAGACAGAGTCGAGTTTACCAATGTTAGTCTTTAAGATAATCGTACAAACAGGGCAATGTGTGTGTGCACACATACACATAGAACATTTTTAGGGTAACAGAACTATTCTGTCTGACACCATAGTGGTCAATTCATGAAACTTTACATTTGTTGATATACCTAGAACTTTAAAACACAAAGAGTGAACCTTGATGTATACAAATTTTTTAAAACTCCTTTAGAAGTTTTGGGGGGATCCCAGCATGGAATGCTGAATTTGACAAAAGAATCTCACTGTATGAGGAATTATGAAACAACCTCACTGAAAAGGGTAGAGGAAAAGGGAAAAGTTACCTAAATAACTTTGGAAATGGAAGTTTCATCAAGACAAAAGGCACAAGGTAGTATACACAGCACTATACTCTAATTGATAAGGTGTTTCCCACAGAGGTACAGGTAGCAGTTTTAAAAGCATCATTTATGTATACTAGAATTTAACAGTTAGATAAATAAGTGGAAGATGGTTAGAGCCAGTTTTCTCAGAGTTAGAGTGGGAGGCTACAAATAAGTTAAGGGAGATAGCTGGAACAATCCATGCAGTAATGGATTAGCAATGGAAATAGCAATATGAACTCATTTTTATTTTCATACAAATACAAATGGTTACATATATACAGATTTATGAATATATGTATATGTATGATTTAGTATATACATAAATATTCCCTTGCTCTTTCAGGAAAAAGGGCCTAGAAGCAACAATACCTCAGTAACAATGAATACATCTAGCACCCAGATCTTGGTTTCTAATACTACCCTCCAATAAAAGGAACCAGGACTCTTTAAAAATGTATAAGATGAACTGTACCATCTTTTGGTGTGAGCAAGTAAAGAAGTGTTCAAAAATAATCATAATCACAATAATGGGAATATGTCAAAGGAGCTGAGGAGACAATTGCAAAAGTTTCCAATAGCCAAAGCTGGTACAGTTTGAGGAAGAAAATAAATCAACGCACTTTGGGAGGCCAAGGCGGGTGGATCACAAGGTCAGGATTTCGAGATCATCCTGGCCAATATGGTGAAACACTGTCTCTGCTAAAAATGCACAAATTAGCTGGGCATGGTGGCACGTGCCTGTAGTCCCAGTTGCTCGGGAGGCTGAGGCAGGAGAATCACTTGAACTCGGGAGGCGGAGCTTGCAGTGAGCCAAGATGGCACTACTGTACTCCAGCCTGGGCAAGAGAGTGAGACTCCATCTCAAAAAAAAAAAAAAAAAAAAAACAGAAAAGAAAAGAAATCAATGTTAGAGTAAAATCCAAAGTATAACGTAAGTGTCCACGATGCTATCGTCTGAATGTGTGTTCCCCCAAAATTCATATGTTGAAATGTTAAGCCTAAAGCAATGCTTTTAGAAGGTAGGGACTTTGGGAGGTGATTAGTAATGAAGGTAGAGCCCACATATGGGATTACTGCCCGTAGAGAGACCCCCGAGAAATCCTTTGTTTATTTCACCATGTGAGGATACAGCTAAAAGGCACCATCTAATAACCAGGAAAAGGGCCCTCACCAGACACCACATGTTTTGGCCCCTTGATTTTGGATTTCTCAGCCTCCAGAACAATGGGAAATAAATGTTTGTTGTTTATATGGCACTTAATCTACAGTGTTTTGTTATAATAGCCTACACAAACTAAGACACATGAGATACATTTATTAACAGATGTAAATAAATGCTTGAATATATAAGTAAATATAAAGAATAAAAAAAAACTGTGCATAAGAATTCCCCTTAACTTACACGGCTACTGCCTTCTCAAGGAGGTAAAACAAGACTCTGAATAGGCACATGTTGATGGAGACAAGGAGAGAAGAAAACCTCTGAAACTCATAGTATCACTCATTCACCAAAACCCCAGGAGGGAAGCCCTCAGTATGAAGTGCCATAGAAAGGCACTGAATCCTTGTAGGTGGTTACAGTGAGAGGGAGAATGAGCCACACAAGGGAAAGTGGAAAGATAAAAGTATGTTTTATTTGTGCTCTTTGTGGGATGTATTGTCTATCCTTGAAAAATTTAAAATCCTCAGGAATCAAATGCTTGTTTATTTGCTTTTGATTATGACCAAGACCACCATATCATGCTTTCATTCCCTTTTGCACACACTTTTAGCTTTCCTGAGGCTAGTTATCTACTTTCGACTTTTACCGAGAAAACTTGTTTAAATTCCAGTATTCATTCAAAGCTCTGAAAATACTCAACCCAAGAAATTGAGGCAAATCTAATAGAGAAATATTGTAAAATAATAAACTTTTTGCCACCTGTTACTACATATTTGTTTCTGTTGCTGACTTGGCTAGGTCTCACCATGTTTGAAAGGAAATTGTTTTTCTCTCTTTAAAATGATGTGTGATTTACATCTAATTTACATCTAAGTCACTTAATTTGAAAGACTTTACTTTTTTTTTTTTCCTAGCTGGCATTATTATCCTGAGATAATTAGCATCCCTAAACTCATGAATTTTTAGATATGCTGTGGTTTGCTAAAGCCAATCTTTCATATTATTCAATGACAAAAGCTATCATTAAATTTACTGATAAAAAATGAAGTAAATTTTGGAAGAAGAAAACAGGAAAGATAAATTTAGACGAAGCATTATGTATGGAAAGCTCATCCACATACTCAATACTTACGTCCAAACTTTCCTCAAAATGTGTTACTTATTGCCTGATTCTGATCACCCCTTTATTTTTAATTACGTGTGCAGTTCTCAGCATTTTTGCATTTGGTATAGTCTGTATCAGTCTTTATTAATAGCTTTTTAAATATTTTCAGTTCCTTTATACTCTCTGTGGGTATATGTATATTTTTACTTGCATACATGTGCCTGTATGCAGCCTGCCAAAACAAATTAAAAATCTTTAAAGACCAGAATAGTATTTTTGTATTTTTTGAAGGGGAAAAGGAAGAAAGCCATTGAAAAACTGTGTATTTGTATTACTGGTGGCTAGGCAGTCCAAAGTCCTCAAATTACTAGCTAGGTAATTGTTTTTTCAATAAAGTAGACAATTAGTAATGCTGAATTTCCTATTTTTTCATCTTTATAATCCAATAATCATCATGAGGCTACTAAATACCTATAAGTAGTCAACAAACTAAAACTATACCTATATACAATATTTTGGGTTACATTTATTTTATCAAATACATGTTGATTATTTTCCTTTGTGCCAAACATTGTACTATTTATTTAGGAGATAAAGAGGAACTAACTAATCACATCCTGAAAATACATCCCAAGTCTCTCTTATTCTATCCTGAAACTTTTCATTTCTTCTTACATTTTTTTCTAGCATTTTAAAAAATTTTCATATTTACTTAGGCCACAAAAATTCGCTGAACATCTACTGCATTCCAGGAACCTTCTATGAGGTAAAGACGTAGCAATAAACAAAACAGACAAAAATGGTATCCCAGTGAAGTTTTTATTCTTTGTATTTAAATATTGAGGATGTGATGAGAAATGTTCAGTACATGCAACATAAATGTTATCTATTATTAATTAATGATGATGGGAAGAGAAAGCCCAATTGCAATTAGATGTTGGAAACTAAGAATATCCTTTGTGCTTATTTTCCTATTGTGTTTCACAGTTGTAATGGCCAGATCTATTTATTTTACTGTCCGTAAATGTAACAACTACTTTTAAAATTTGAGAAAAAATCTTAGGCTATTTTTTTCTCTTTAAACAATTCAAACACATAGATCTTTGGGTTCTTCACCTTATATATCAGTTAGCACAGCCTACAATCCATTCTAAGTCAATGCTGTGTAGCTGAGAATTATTGAGTATAATTTTCCATAAGAAATGATATGTTGAAAGTCTTTCAAAAGTAAAGTTAGCAGAAAATACAACACCTGCATTTTAAATATGTACTTGCCACCTGCACATTTCAGGCAAGTATCAAACTAAAATAACTTTGACTTAAAAATAAATTTAATTTCATTTTAATTATATTTCAATATTTAAATTTTAATATATTTAGATGTTTTGTTTGATGTTGTTTCTGCTTTTGTGATTGGTGTGTTTGGGTATGTGTGTGCATTTGTATTGGTATGTGTGGGTGCAAAAAAAAATTTTTTTTCTCTACCTCTTATGAAGCATTTTAAAGTGGTTGAGTTAAATTACCACTCATTTCCATTTTACAGAGGAGGCTATTAAGAAATTGTTAAGACAACATTTGCTGCCAAAGGTTAATATATACATATAAACATTATATACTTACACATGTGATTCTATATATACCTATTCAGAGAAATGGGAAAAAAAATTTTTCCGAAAACATAGCCATCTGTATCTGAGCACAGCACATTTTTAGGTAACAAATACAACATAATGAAGTATTATGTCTTGTTACATCAAGAGAATGGTAATTTTAACACTGAAGAATTCCTTGTTCAAGAATTAGCAATGAGCTGAGAAATAGAGTTAATCATATAAAAATCAATAAAAAGTAGTTATTAAGGAAAACTTTTGAAGGGAACTGCATGTAATCTTCATAGAAATTAAACTACATTTAAGCTAGTATGCTATACTTTAGCTCTCCTTAGACTCCCTAGGAAAAAAAAAAAAAAGAAAAAAAAAGGAAAAAAAGGCTTATGTGATAACACCTTACCCAGGAGCACATGGAGAGAAATGAGAGCAAAGGGGAATGTGGCAAGGGAGGTGGAATAGCAAATATAAAGAAGGAGAGCCTTGCTGGGCTGGCCATGGTTCTGTAGCAGGACGACTGTTCAGTCTTTAGAGAGGCTTTATGTAGCTGCTACACCTTTGAAAATCTAGCTAGGGGAAGAAGAAGGAAGAAAACATCAACTGCCTCCCATTTCACATTGTTCAATGTTTGCCTCCACAAGGTGTTAACTCTCAGCATGTCCATACTGTGCAGAGGTGGTCTGAGGCAACAAGGAAGCCCAGAGGTAGAGGACATGGAGCATGACAGGGGGTTTGCTCCCAAACAAGAGCAACATCAGAGACAGCAGCTGTGACTCTTATCTAGGATGCAGGAGTGATAGAAGTTAGTACCAGGGATATTCTGGCTAGAGAGCAAGGCAAGGCAAGTGCAAGGACCTAGGGCGATGAATAAACTGAATCCAGTCCTTATTACATGGGGCCTTTACTCATAGATCTGACTCACAATACATTGCTTTGCTCTTTTTGAAAATTAATTACAAAGCATTTTCAAAAGTGAGAAAAAGCATGTCACAAATAAGCAATAACTTGTTATAGATTTCAAGTGGCTACCATATTCTAGACTTTTTAAGGGTTCCAGATCTCATTCTCAGCTCCTATATCCACCTTGCCTTTGTTTTCTAGGTTTTCATAAATGGGAATTTATTTACATGTCATTTCCCTTTTAGTGTTTATCTGAGGGTCAGTTCTTGCTTCTAGATATTTCCACCTTTCAGTTTGGCCTTATTTCTCAAGGTTTAACAGTAATAATCATGAAACTATAAACTTAATAGAGAATCAGAACAGAACACTGAGAGGAACAATTCTTGATTCAGCCAGACTGGGTTGGGTTTGTGGTTCTTTCTGTTAGAAACTGTGTGATCCTGGGCAAATTAATTTTCTTGTCTGTAAAATCAAATATACTCTCTTGAAGAGTTATGGTGGAAACGAAATAAATTAATATATATATATATTTATATACATATATGTGTAAGCTTATATATATAAGCACATAACACTACCATGATTTTGTTGAGAGATCTTTATTTCCAGAGATTTTCTAATTGAACATGGACATTTCCTGTATAACCTCTTGTAATTTAGCTTTGGCCAAGAAGAGAGGACTCTGCCCAGTACATAGTACATATATTTCTTACGGTAGGAAAGTAGAAGAAAGCAATGAAAGATTTGGGAAAAGAAAGAAAGTAGAAAGTAGAATTACTAGTTTTATGTGTCACACAGAAGATAAACATAAATGAAATACTTGAGAGTCAATGTCTTCTACCAATGGGTTCCACATTTTAACAAAATTTTAGTTTAATATGTAAAGTTCAACAGACACTAACATATAGAATCAAATATATGATTTTCTGGTGAATCTATGAATAAAAATCATTTAAAGAGATATCAAAACTAGTTAAATTTGCAAAGCACTTGCATATTTAAATAACTGTAATATTTACTTAGTGTATTTTGATGTTGTATTTATGTGTTATTAATGTTAATATTTATGTATTCCTTTTCTACATAATTACTCAAATGATTTGAGGTCACTTCTGGGACTTTGAAGCATTATAATATCTCATAAGCACATTTAGTACTTAACATTTGGACCCTTTTTTTTTATAATCAGAAAATATATGATAGTTGAGGTTAGAGTCACACAACCATTTTGGGCAGCTACAATTTAAACAAGGGCAAATCAAGAATTGAAAATGATCACTGTTTGTCTTACTTATTTTCATACTTATGCTTTAAAACTCTTAGTTACGTTACCAAAAATGAAATTCATTTAAGCTTCCAAATATACACCAATTTTGACTTACCACTTCACTGGTACATCTTAAAAACCAATGAGTGCACTGAGTCCTTCGAAAATTGTGCTTCCTTTCTTTTTTTTTTTTTTTGAATTTAAAAAAAGTTATTATGTATTTTATTTATTTATTTTTTGCCTTTTGGCACTACAATTTTTTTTTATTATCATTATACTTTAAGTTTTAGGGTACATGTGCACAACGTGCAGGTTTGTTACATATGTATACATGTGCCATGTTGGTGTGCTGCACCCATTAACTCATCATTTAGCATTAGGTATAGATTCAATTTTATACAAAGACAAATTTTTATTATAACTGTTTTGTCAAATTACTTACACACAAGCTTCTAGGAAGAATTAATTTATTATAAAAACCATGCACTAGATCTCACTTTAGCAAACTCTGAAAAGGCATCCCATAAAATTTTGCATTCTGTAATTCCACCATCTGCTGCATGGTTCAGCATCATACAACCTTTGCCAAATATGATTGTTAAATGACTCAATTGTATTTGAAACCAAGGTAGGACAATTTATCCCAATTTATTAAACATTAAAAAGGCCAGATATTCTATCTTGTCTCTTTCCCACAAATGTTTGCAGTTTTTATTTTTAATAGTTGTTATTACATCAATAAATTATTTCCACTAACCAGACACCTTGACTGCATAATTCAGTAATTACAGTACACCTTATAAAGAGCTGTTTGGTAAATGCACTAGCTATAGAGGAGTGAGATATGATTAAAGATATGCATTTGTATGTAAATTGTCATTTTCATAGGTAGGGGAACATATGCAAAACCTAAAAATGCTCTATTATAGAATAAATGATGACTTAACATTACATTTCTGCATCACGAAATGCATAATGAACCATTTTTACAAGTTTACTTTTCTGTTATCCCCAGATCCTAAAAGGTTTACAAATATTTTTGTCAGTACCTGAATCATCTCTTAGAAAACTGCAGTTAAAGCCTATTGCTTGTAAATTAAATAAATAAATAAATAAAATCACAGCAGGTAAGCAGAATAGAAAATGATAACAGGCTCTTTCCTAACTGCCTCACCAACTATCTCCTATTTAGTCAATAGATTAAGTCATGGAAGATTAAAGCAGAAACTTGCTCAGGGCATGTAGAAAATGCAAAATACTTGATTTGCAAAAATGTGAAGTGTAAAAGAGAAAAAATGGGTTGGAAAAGCAATCGTGTTTTAAAAATCCCGGAAGAATCTAAATATCACTCTATTATATTTTTGAGGGATTGTCATAGTTGGAAGATAACCCATTAAATCTTATCAGAATAACCAACAGGAGGGCAATCCAAATGATAAAGCCATTCTAATGAAATGCAGACAAAGATTAAAAAGAATTAAAAGTGACAAGTAAAATCCATTAGAGAACAGCCTTTAACTACTGTAATCAGAAGACAATTACTTACCTTGTCAATTAACAGCTGTGTGCCTCCTTTGCACATAGACAAAAAATCCTGCAGAGTGTCACAGAGACACTTGTAAGGCATATGGAATGAGGTCATTTGAGTGGCATATAGAGTGTTCATGCATCCAAGTGAAATATCCAAACATCATTGAATTTACCCACCTCACAATTAACCACGGTTCCATGGATTAATACTCACTCTTGCAGAGTGAACATAGCAGACTTGGGGAGCAATTAAAAGCAGAAAAAAAATTGTACTTCAATTCATCAACTCCAAGAACATTTTTCAACTACTAAAACAGGCTTACTTATGGAGGAAAAAGAGTTCTGCCCCAAACTATTCAGAAACTTTAACCAGGGATCCAAGAGAAACAACAAATTAGATTTCTTATTTGGAGTTCTATAAAACTAGGAAGGCAATCATTTCTTCTGACAATCTGTAATAAATCTTGAAGTGTGCAGGTGAAAGGGAAGAAAGTAGAAAATCTCAAACATAGAAAACATGTCAATTTATGAATGTTCCCCAACAAAGGCAGCTTCGATTTTTCAAAAGAGCTTTGATTTGGCGAGCATATTCTAAACTTACAGAATGAATGCTGAACAGGGTTACTTGATTTGGAAAGATTAACCTAAAGAAAGTTCAAGGAAAATGAAACCATGTACAGAAACAGTCTGTCCCCTTGAAATAAAAAGAGCTACAGGGCAATTTTTCAAAGTCCATATTTGTCTTTTTCTTTCAGTAATATTATTTTATAAATGATTATTTATAGAAATTGTCATGCTGCAGTTTTTCACCATAGTATTTTTACTTATTAGAAACCAGTAATAAATAACATTTTATTGAAGAAGTAAAAATCCAGTCCGAATAGAACAAAAATGTGAAAAATAGAAATCATATAAATAGTAATTATTTTAGAGAACTCATTTGTTTTAAAGAAGATGGTTTGTTTTATATCTATGTAGGTAGTTAAATATGTGTGTGTGTGTATTACTATTGTTATCTAAACATTTGAAGACATTTATAGACATTAAGAAATCAGTGTCAGCAATGTATCCTTCATACCTGACCTTGTTGATACAAAAATCTAAGTCAGATCTGGAAGTATAAATATAATTGTTTAGAGTTCTAATACTAATGGAATAAGCTGATTTGCTGGTGTCACTGAAACCAATTTTCCATGCTTACCACTGTAAACACTTGCCACAGTGGGAAATATTATTAGCAGCCAATACCTGAAAAATCTGATATAATCTGGTATCCAATGTGCCTGGGGTGAGAGTTATTTTCTGTAGACTTCTGCTTAAACCTATAGTATGGTTTACACTGTACCATTTAACCTCTCTTTCAGTATCTTGACTTCACTATGGTTGGTCCTCCTAGGATTTGAGCTTTCTCTTGAAATTCAATCAGCTTGCTGATTCTAAGATTCTAAGGATTCTAAGATTCTGCTTCCCACTCCCACTCCCTGAGACTGGCAACAGATTCTCACTGGCTGTGCAAATCTCCTAGAATCATACTCCTCACATAACTCAGGGCATTGCTACAGTTGAGAAAATCCATCTGCTGTGCTCTGCCTATAGATCAAGCTTCTTTGTGTGTCCACCCAGATTTTGATCAGAGTGATTTAGATAGCTTGACAGCTCATCAAGACTTGCCAGACCTACATCCTGTCTAGATATCTTTGTCCTATTCCATCTATCCCCAGCTTCTGCCATTTCTTTGACTGTTCTGATGAGGCTTTGTAAATTAACCCAATGAAGAAACAATCATGTGGCTAAAATCACAGTGTTATATTGACTCCAGGCCTCAGGCATCATTAAATGGGTCCTACTCATATCTGAAGTATATTTGGAGCCATTTGGTTATATCGTCCAATCCTTTAGGATGCAACACAAAGACAAATAGAAGAAATACACTCTTTTTCAGGTATAAACTTAATCCATAGGTTATAGCTTTTAATTTCTGAAAAAAAAATCTTCAAAGTTTAACGGTCTCAATATGTTTCACTTTTATTATTGTACTTAAGTTATATGAAATTTTGTTTTTATATTGGTTTCAGTTCTTTCCAAAGTGTAACGGTTTTGCTACACTTGGAATATTGCTTGAGTATGAGTAAGTATTATTCAGACATATAAAGTTAGGTACATCCTCAAACACATGTGTTTCTGAATATATATTATAAAATTATTAGGAATGTACAATAATAATCAATGCCATTTATTCTTGCCTTAGTCTTTTATTTATTTATGATCCTGCTGAGCCACTAACATTATAGACATTCCCCCAAATGATCAGAAACCCAGAACCAAGAGAGTGCATTTGGAGAAAGGAACAGAAATTATTAACAGATATGATTATAAACATGTATTGTTTCTTGTAGAGCTCATGATATTTCAGAAAGTCCAAATAATTGCACATAGTCATTCCAAAAATCTTGTAATATTATACTGTGTAGGTATGTGTGTGTAAAAATAGATTCCATAACAGTAAGCTATATTTTCTGTTTCTAGGTTAATTAGCAGAATTTCAAATTTTGTGGCAGTCAAAACATAGTTTCTTCTTTAAAGTCTTCTTTGCTGTAAAGGGGATCTTTATTTCAAGAGGCATTTACAAAAGGCATTTACAAAACTTCAAAGGACATTTACAAAAATAAAATGCCCTTGGAAATCCTTTACTCAAAATAATATTACATGAACAAAACACAGATTATTATTAAAATAATTTTTCTGTTAATAGTAAAAATCAATCTTCAAAGTGCCAATAATATGTAATTATCTACATATCAAATATTAAAAGAATTGTCAACTACAAGTAATATAGTAGAAAAACAAAAATTCTCTTTAGGTCACTCATTTCCTTTGCACCCCAGAAGAATTACCATTTTTACACTTATTTAGATCGCTACACATGTCTTCCATTGAATAGTGTGGGATTCCCTGGGTACCATGCAAATGATAGCTACAAATGAGCTGGTGATTTATTTTGTGTTTAACCACTTATATCAGTCATAAAAGTTAGTTTAATAAGAAGGAGAATAATGGTAAGATTTTGAAATCAGGAATAAGTCCACCTCTACCTCATCTGCAACCTAGTGATAGATGGCATTTCAAAGAAGAAGAGTTACTAGTTTTATTATTTTTACTATATGTGGGTGATGCAACAAACTGTGTAATATAATTTTCTACTCCTTAGTGTAATTTATATTAAAAGTATTTTGTTTTGCTTTGAATTTTGGATTTAAATGGAAAATTTAAATCCAATTTAAATTTAAATGGAAAATAGAGAACATTACTATAATAGGTGCTTGTAAGAAAAATAATAAAAAAACACTAATATATCAGATAAGAAATGCTTATAACCAAGTTTGCCTACTTTATAATTGTAATTTCAAAAAAGCCTAACCAGTAAATATATGCGGATAAAAATTATCTATTTTGCATTTGAACATCTATTTATATTCAAATTTTAATATAATTTAGGATGGCTGTTGAGTTGTCATTTGGCATTTGTTCCCTTTCATCAGCGTAATATTATTAGTTGGCATTTATTAATAATCTGTAGGAAGCTTTTACCAATGTTCTTCACACAAAGTTGGGTAATATTTTGGTAGATAAGTGTTGTATAATTCTTAAACTATTGATATAACTTAAGTTGCAAAATTATAAGCAGAAAAATAAACTGACATTTACTTCATATCCTATCAAAAATAATTATGAGAATGGGTGAATATTAGAGTTTCCAGGAAACCTGGAAATAATTTAGGTAAATTTATGAAATTGAAAGGAAGTGAAGATGTTCCCTTGGATTTGAAGAAAGGAAGAGTTTCAGACAAAAGGGATATTTCAGAGAAGAAACTAAAGTATAGAAAGTTGAAAATAAGGTCATTTGCTTTTCATAGGTCATTGACAACATGATCTATAACACCCAAATACAACAAGATGAACAATTTGGTCAATAGACATGGGAAGGAGTAAAGAATGAGAGCAGTTAGATTTTAAAATAGTGAAGGGGTGTAAGAAAAGTCCATTTTCCAAAGATGTCTATGTTAGAGATTATGTGAATCCCCAGCTATATCTCAGGATGGTCTTCATTTAATTTGCTTAAATGTTGATGACCTGTTTTTCTTTTTTATCTCTTCCTCACTTTCTTCCATAAGTGATTGAGTTATATGTGCCATGTATTGTGCTTATTCTTAGTTCATAATGGGGATCTAAACCAGCCTTAGGGGAAATTATAGACCTAGAATGGATTGGAAGTAAGCAATATTGATCAAATAACAAAATAAATGTAAATTTGTTACTCTAAAAAGGACAAGTACATCAAGTTATGAGAGCACCTGGTTGGGGGGCAGGGTAGTATATCTAATTGGAGAGATCCAGAGTTATTTCTGAAGAACACCTGACCCTGTTCAGTACTTACCCTGCCTAATATCTAATTAAACTCAGTTCTGCCTTCAATTCTAATTATTATTTTCTATATTCCTGGCACTGAATAAGTTTCAAATTTCTAGCCCTGAGCTGTCTAGTGTCCCTGAAGAAGGCTGACTTTTTTTCTCAATCTAAGGAGCAATCTTGGCTCTATTAGATACAGGATAGCAAAGCCCAATTCATCTCTATTGCTCCAACATCCCTCGGTTAACTCTTCTTTATCTCTGAAAGCCTAGCTTTGTAATAGCAACTGTAGATTCTCCTTATCAAATTGTATATATCAAGCAAAAATATTTGGAATGCATCAAGCTTTTCACATTTCAGTGTGGAGAAAATTATCTATTCATTTAGTTGTTGATAGATTTCTGTAGATGGATTTTAGCACATATTTAGGACTTAGACACTTTTTCCTAAAAATGTAGGGGATGTGTGGGGAATTCCTTATTATGACAAAAAGCATCAAAACACCCTGCTTTAACTTGCTACAAAATGCACTTAAAATTTATAAGAATAAGGCAGCTCTTCATGGTCGATGTCACCTCCTATTCCTTGGGATTTCTAGATTGAGCATGCTGAGGCAGAACTGAATAGTTCACTATGTTCACCAGTGAAAGGGACTCTTCCTCAAGATGTTCAACCAAATGGAAAGTGACTGGATGAGACGCCTTCCATGGATAAAAGGCTCAATTATGAAGAGTCACTTGGATCTCTACAGATCATAACCTTTACTAATCAAAATCATATAAATATAGAAGAAGAAATGTTTCTTGAGCATAAAGAGCTAATTAGAGGTTCTCCTGCTCTCAGAACGGAAGTATTACTTCCTAAAAGCTATGTTATAAAATGGCATGTTCAGTCTTTGGCATAGTCTAAATATAACTAGTGCAAATAGCTCAAATAATAACTACCATTTATTTAATTTTTATAATATGTTTCTACAACAACCCACAAGGCAAATGAGCAAATGATATACTTTTTTTTTTTTAAGGTGAAGAGACTGAAGCTATGTGATTTTTCTCATTCTCTCAAAAACACAATAGTCTTGCAAATCTAATTAACTTCAGTAGGATTTGATTGAGGTTTCTTCAAATTAGACCCAATCTTTGATTACCTGTCACCACCACCACTGCCCTGGTCCAAGGCACCATCTTTATCCTTGATTATTGCAATGCCTTCTAATCAGTTTCCTTATTTCAGGACTAGCCTACCTTCACTCTATTTTCATTCTAGTAGGTTGTGTCATTCTAAAAAAAAAATAAAAATGTAAGTTATCCTGTCATGCCAAAGCTCAAAGCCTTCATGGTTTCTCATAACCTCCAAGGTGCTCCATAATCCAGTTCCCTGATGATTCTCTATTTTCCTCTTTTTATCTCCTAATACTCTTCATAGTGTACTGGCCACATGGGCCTCTTGCTGCTCCCTGAATATACCAGTATTGATCTCATCTCAGAGTTGTTGGACATCTATTTCCTTTATTTGGAAAGCTTTTCCCCTGGATATCGGCAAGTCATGTTTACGCAAAAGTCACCTCTGAGAAGGGCCTTTCTGGCACACACTATCTAAAATATTAGTCCTCCTATATTAGTTCTTGTCTCCTATGTTGTTTTTGTTTTTGTTTTTTGACTTACACTTATTATCTAAATTTCATGTATTTTTCACCCTTTTTAATGCCTGTCTGCCCCAACTGGAATGTGAGCTTCATAAAGGCAGATTCACTGCAGTATCTATATCACCCATAAGAGAATTTTGCAGAGAGTAAGTGTTTAACAGGTGTTGAGTAAATAAGTCAAGTTTCCAGATATTGAAAAATTTACCAAAGGGTTACCTGCCTAAGAGTGAAGGACTCTGTATTCAAATCAGGTCTTTATTTAATGGTATTTTACTTATTAATTTGTGACACTTGCCAAACTATCTTATGTTTTACTTTTTACTTGCTAAACATAGAACTGCAAAGGAAATGTCAAAATAAAAAACATTTAGCCTAGAGGCTGCCCCTGGGTAGAAAAAAAAATGACCATGTAATATTTAATGCTTCAGCTGTGGTTAGAACATCTAATAGCCATGTTCTAGAACAACTGCAAGAACCTCATGTTATCTTATCCCTCATTCACAAATGGTGCCTCTATATTTTGTGGCCTCTATGAAATTTATTTGTTGCTAAATGGATACACATATCTTGACAAATCACTGGGAATTTGATATACTTAAAAGCAAAAGTGGCAGGTACATTTTGAGCCATTCAAAGCTGAAAGAGTTATGGATTTTAAAAATTAGAAGTATAAAAGCATGGAAAAAGAGTAACAAGAACTACAACTACTACGTCAGAATTTCCGTAATAAACAATTGGCCCCATACTCCATCTCCTTTAATCTACCTGAATGAATAAAGTAGGCCTTTATATATCTTATAATATCATGGTTTGAAAGTTTGAAATATTTTGAGTAAATGGTGGAAGAAAGAAGAAGGGAGGTTAGAAAGACCAATTGTATTTCTCAGACTCCCTAATTCCTTCTTCTTAAATTGTTATTTTAATCCCTTACAGAGGAGAAAATAATACTGGACATACTTTTAGAGGCAATAGAAAAATCTTAGTTAGAAAATATGTAAGAGAGGTAACAAACTGCAAAAAAAAAAAAAAATCGTGTTAGACAAATTGCAATATTGTGTTTTTTTTATATTGCCCTAACATCTCATTTTATCATTTTATTTATCTGATTGCAAAATATTTAGGTAATATTGAAGGGAAAGGAAAACCTTCCTCTGGTAAAGAATGGTAGGAAAACAAATAAAACACATTTTCCTAGCCCAAATGAAGAAGAATTTTATTTTCTCAGCAATATATTAATTTCAAAGACTCTTGCATACTGGTCTTTAGAGGCTGCATCAAATTAGAAGCATGACCAACAATTTTCAAAGTTCTTAATTGAGCATTTCTAGTAAGCACATGCTATGCTAAAGGGAGATAAAGCTTAGCATTTGTTTTTCCTAGCACAAAATATACTGATTAAACTTGATTTCCCGCAGTGCTCAAGTCATTGATGCAATAATATATTGTAAATTACTGAGCAAGTCTGAAAAAGTTAGTCATCACACTGAGATTCACCTTAATAATGGTAAATATTTAGACAGGAAGGAATTCCAAATGGAGCTCACTATCCCATTACTAAGTTCGTAAACATTTAACGTTAATTGATAAAATTATGTCTTCTTAACTCTCAGTAGCCATAGAATTTTTTAATTAGAGTAATGCCTTTACAGTATTGCTCTTATTAGCCTTATTTATGTATTACAGAAATATTTTAATACAAAGTGGTTCTAAGAAAATTTTCAACTGGTTAACCTGAATAAGAGTGAGCACAATAATTCAATTAGAGGTCATATGATAAAAACCCTTGCGGTTTTTCTGGAAATACTTTTAAGGTGAATAGCACTTTAGGTATTTTTATTTATATTGATACAGTTAAGTAGTTTTAATTGTTTATTCACCTAATTTCACTTGAATCCCACTGATTAGCTTAAGAAAGAGAGAACCTTGGGGAAGCTAATATAACATCTTTTATTCAAAAATATACAGTTAGGAAGAAGCAACATTTTAAATGTAATTGCAAAGACAGAAATTTTTTAAGTATTTTGAAATCATATTTTCAAATTCAGAACTTTAAAAAAGTTATCTTTTGAACTTGAGCAGAACATAAAGTGCTATATCACCAGGCACCACAAGGTTTTATCTTCCTCTTCCTTTCAATTATTTCAGAAATCTTACTCAAGAATAAACGATCTCGTTAAATTATCTTTCTCTAAACAATACCTAATCAAAACACAGGTTGCTCTAAATAAGATTGTAATTAAGGCTGTTAAAAAATGTGTAATTTTTGTAAGTGATTTTATATCTTACAGCTATCAGAAACATCTACATTTGAAAAAAAAATGTCAACCTTCTTTCTTCACTTTCCTCATTTACTGACATACCATGACCCATTATTCAACGAATTACCCTTCTGCCAAAAATCTAGAATTCCTTACCTCTAGGCTTTTATACTTTCCCTCCACTTCTGAATTTCTCCAGGTCTGGATGATCCCAAGAACCTGCTTTTCCTGTACCTGCCCTACAGCAGTTAAGTTTATTGAAGAGCATTACACAATAGGATTGATTACTGACCATTATGACAGGGAAAGCAACATCAAGGGAACATCATCATCACTGTTTCAGATATCCTCCATTCTCCCTCAACTTCAGTCTCCACATATATGCTCTGACCCTGCAGATTATGTCACCGAATATTGAAGCCATTAGACAGCGCCATTCTCACTGGCATATGACACTATATACTTGCCTATGTGGGCCACCCCTGTGTTCTTCTCCCCATTGCCCTGAGGTTCATTCCCCCAGCAGTGCTTTAATTGTAAATCCCTCCTATTCCCAGGGACTCTCTCAGCATCCTTCTCTCTCCTGTATGTCCACCCACTAATACTGAATTTTATCCACCCTTTCAGTTTGCATGTATGCTTAATTAAGCCTCTATTATTTTTTAACAATAGTTCTGGTATAACATCACTCTACTAGCTACAATATTTTAATTTATACAAAAATTTCTCTTAAGAATCTTTGAATAAAAATTTCTGTAAATGTCACAGTCATATTATCAGAAATCATTTGGATCTAACTGGTTGTATTATTTGACAATATTTTTCTTATGTACATAAGAGAGGTTCTTTATAACTGATTGTATTAGTCCATTTTCATGCTGCTGATGAAGACATACCTGAGACTGGGAAGAAAAAGAGGTTTAATGGATTTACAATTCCACATGGCTGGGGAGGACTCAGAATCATGGCAGAAGGCAAGGAGAAGCAAGTCACGTCTTACATGGATGGAGTTAGGCAAAGAGAGAGCTTGTGTAGGGAAACTACCCTTTTTAAAAACATCAGATCTTATGAGACTCATTCACTCTCACGAGAACAGCACAGGAAAGACCCGCCCACTGGGTTCCTCCCATGACACAGGGGGATTGTGGAATTTACAATTCAAGATGAGATTTGGGTGGGGATGCAGCCAAACCATATAATTCCACCCCAGCCCCTTCCAAATCCCATGTCTTCACATTTCAAAACCAATCATGCCTTCCCAACGGTTTCTCAAAGTCTTAACTCATTTCAGCATTAACTCAAAAGTCCACAGTCCAACATCATATCAAAGACAAGGCAAGGCCCTTCCACCTAGGAGCCTGTAAAATCAAAAGCAAGTTAGTTTCTTCCTAGATACAATGGTGATACAGGCACTGGGTAAATACAGCTGTTCCAAATGGATGAAATTGGCCAAAACAAAGGGGCTACAGGCCCCATGCAAATCTTAACTCTAGCAGGGCAATCAAATCTTAAAGCTTCAAAATGATCTCCTTTGACATCAGGTCATGCTGATCCAAGAGATGGGTTCCCATGGTCTCGGGCACCTTTGCCCCATGGCTGTTAAGGGTACAGCCTCCCTCCTGGCTGCCTTTATGGGCTGGTGTTGAGTATCTATGGCTTTTCCAGGCACATGGTACAAACTGTCAGTGTTATCTACCATTCTGGGGTCTGGAGGATTGTGGCCTTCTTCTCATACTCTACTAGGCGGTGCGCCAGTAGGGACTCTGTGTGAGGGCTTTGATTCCACATTTCCGTTCTACACTGGGCTAGCAGATGTTCTCTATGAGAGCTCCACCCCTGCAGCAAACTTCTGTCTGGACATCCAGGCATTTCCACACATCCTCTGAAATCCAGGTGGAGGTTCCTGAAGCTCAGTTCTTCACTTCTGTGCACCTGCAGGCTCAACACCACATGGAAGCTGCCAAGGCTTGAGGCTTGCACCCTCTGAAGCCACAGCTGGAGCTGTACCTGGGCCCCTTTTAGTCATGGCTGGAGTGGCTGGGATGCAGGGCACCAAGTCCCTAGATGGCACGCAGCACAGGGACCCAGGGCCTGGCCTATGAAACCATTTTTTCCTCCTAGGCCTCTGGTCTGTGATGGGAGGGGCTGCCGTAGAGACGTCTGACATGCCCTAGAGACATTTTCTTCACTGTCTTGGGGATTAACATTTGGCTCCTCATTACTTATGCAAATTTCTGAAGCCAGCTTGAATTTGTCCTTAGAAAATGGGATTTTCTTCTCTATTGCATTGTCAGGCTGCAAATTTTCTGAACTTTTAGGCTCTGCTTCCTTTATAAAACTGAATGCCTTTAACAGTACCCAAGTCACCTATTGAATGCTTTGCTGCTTAGAAATTTTTTCTGCCAGATACCCTAAATCATCTTTCTCAAGTTCAAAGTTCACGAATCTCTAGGGCATGGGCAAAATGCTGCCAGTCTCTTTGCAAAAACATAAGAAGAGTTACCTTTGCTCCAGTTCCCAACAAGTTCCTCATCTCCATCTGAGACCACCTCAGCCTGGAAGTTATTGTTCATATCACTATCATTATTTTTGTCAAAGCCATTCAACAAGTCTCTAGGAAATTCCAAACTTTTCCATATTTTCCTGTCTTCTTCTGTGCCCTCCAAACTGTTCCAACCTCTGCCTGTTACCCAGTTCCAAAGTCACTTCCATATTTTCAGGTATCTTTTGAGCAGCACCCCACTCTACTGGTACCAATTTACTGTATTAGTTCATTTTCATGCTGCTGATAAAGACATACCAGAGACTGGGAATAAAAAGAGGTTTAATGGACTTATAGTTCCACATGGCATGGGAGGCCTCACAATTGTGGTGGAAGACAAGGAGGAGCAATTCACATATTACATGGATGAGGGCAGGCAAAGAGAGAGCTTGTGCAAGGAAACTCCCCTTTTTAAGACCATCAGATCTCATAAGACTCATTCACTATCACAAGAACAGCACAGGAAAGACCTGCCGCTTAATTCAGTCACCTCCCACTGGGTTCCTCTCATGACACATGGGAATTGTGGGACTTATAATTCAAGATTAGATTTGGGTGGAGGCACAGCCAAACTATATTATTGATTTTTTCATTTGCCTGGAATATGTATTTATTTTCTCCTAGAAAGAGAGGGAAGAATATTTTAATCCAAATCCTTTGACTTTACAAGAAATTCAACTCAAGTTGGCATAAAACAATTAGAATGTATTGGCTCACGTAAATGAACACTCCAGGAGGTAGTTTTTGCTTCAGGAATGGCTGTATCCAGACACTTAACAAATATCATCAGTACTTTACCTTCCCCATTTCTCATCTTTACTTCCCTCAATATTCCTCCCACCCCATCCTCTATAAACTGGTACTTCCCTTGTGGTAGGCTTTGGCAGTCCTACAAATTGAAAAATCCTTTTAGTACTATGACAAGCTCTGGGCTGTTGCTAAATCCCTGACTTGTATTATGTGATCATCTCAAAATCAGAGGAACTTCTGAGATTGACATCATTTTGAATATTACCTGAATCCCTATTAACAAAGTTAAAAATTTAGAATAAAAAGCGGATTTTTTAATTACAATTAAATGACCAGAAGTTAAACACAGATCAAAAGTATTTTAAGATGTACACAGATTATTTCACAGATGAGTTCCACATAACTCATAAGAAAAATAATTCTGATGCTACAAATATCACATTTGATTACGAATCTAGTGACACCAATACCACAAAATTGAAGGTGGTATAAAACAAAATAATAGACTAATTTTACTTATGAATATAGAAAAAGTTCTTAAAAAATAAGAATCTATCAACATATCAAATGCAAAATTTCAAGAATGATCTGATACAGGAAATCTAGCAAAATAAATGGGATGATCAGATAATTATGGTAATATATTCAGAAAACCTATTAGATAAAAATAAGCAGCCTTTTCTAATAAAAACTTTATGTGGAATAAAAATAGAATAATTTCTTTCTACTGAAAATCTATCAGAGTGAGCATATTTTTGTTCACTCAGTGCACTTGAAAACCCTTCCCCATGGTAGGACAGGACTCACTTTCTAAATTCCTACCTCCCCAAAATACAAGGTGAAAATTTATTTTCCAATCTGTATTAATAAAAGGCTATTGTGGAGAATATAAGAAACAGTTTCTACCAACTGATTAGAAACTCAATTGAATGGGTTCTTGGGGTGCCTATGCTGACTTCCAGTGCTCACTAATTTATTTCAGGTAGTGATAACTAGTCTTTTAAAAATTCTCATGACATGTTTTGACAGAAATTACTAGAAATATTTCTGAAATTTATTATTTTATCAGTTGTTAATAATGGGTCAACAGTCTTTATTTCAAACTTGATTATCCATAATCTCTGATTGAGGGCTAGTAACTATGTCCTAATTGAATAAGCTCTTTGATACCCTGGCTTGAACTCATTTCAGAAACCTAATAGTTTATTGCCCAGGTGCATTTCTGAGCTCTCATATATCTTTATGATATATAGTTTAAGAGAAGATAAAATAAAATGAGCTCACATTTGCAATTCCCAAGCAGTAGCCTTATTTCTTCATTGCATTTTTTTATTCCCTAAATAGAGTTGAAATAAGAAAAAGGCAAAAATAACCTTTATAATTCTTCTCAAACAACATATTATTCTCTGTTGTCTTCCTGGTTATATTTACATAGTCTCATGTCACTCTCCTGAATTTCTTCCTTTATTTGGAGGCCCTTTATTCATTTTGCATAGAATATTTATTCATACTGTTATTTTTATACAACTTATTCATATACTCCAAAAGAGAGTACATGATCTGGTCCCTCTGAGGCAGTAGCCCCAACTTTCAGGTAAAGCTCAGATTGGATGAGATAGTGCAAGTTCATACTATATCAGATATCCAAATGTTTAAGAGTTATTCAAAGAATAGTTGAAATGTAGTACAGAGCTCATTCTTTAATTTAAAAGGCAGTTGTTGAGTAGTTATGCAATCTTCTGGCAAGTAGAAACCAAAAGAGGAAAATAAGGCATAGTAATTTCAACTAGTCTTGATTCCTACAGTTTCAAGTGGCAGTGAGCCAAACCATTCTAACCATGAGAAAGAAATGTTACCTAGGCCTCAGAGAAAACTGGAATTGAGACTGTGAAAGACATGTGTTCTCTTTCTATCATTTGTGTGGGCTTTTCTCCTTTGCCAAGTGATCTCATTCTCCCTATTGGAGATTGAATTCTTCCAAAAGCAAGATCATGGAAACCATTTCTCTAAAGCCTCACATCTGTACCTACAGAGAAGAGCTAAAAGTCAGACCCTCTCTTTCGAGGTCAAAACTCTGAAGAATGGCCTCTATCAGACTAGCTTAGGTTAGCTTCTCTTTCCCATTTTTATCACCTGCAGCAAGGATTATGGTCTTTGACCCAGCTTGAGATAGGTCATCACCCTGAAAAATTGGCCAGAACAAGTAGGATTTGTAAGAAAACTTATAGAAGTAACAATAAGGATCTCACAATTAGGTAGGAAAAGTAAGTATTTCTTAGTAGGATGCCATGTTATGTTTTTGGAAGACAAATTAAATGTGTGTGTGTGTGTGTGTGTGTACATTTGTGTGTGCATAAATATCTACTACTTGAAAAATCTCTACTTAAAAAATTTCAAATATTTCTGCTCATAGAGAAGCATATTTCCTTTTGTTAAAATTAGCATTTTAAATTGGAATGATAGCAAAATTGACCTGAATTTGAGAACAAGAACATTGTAATTGAATGAGTCAGAAAATAGGCTATAAGTTAGTGATGGAATTGGACATTTACTGATTATCCCCGTGATTGTTTGTTCTGTGGGCACTACTGCTTCCTGATATCATAGTTTCATTTATATTTTTTATAACTATGCCTTTGGGTGAGTGTCCTTACCTCTCAATCACGTGAAATGACCCTGTAAAGACTTTCTTAATTAATTAAAAACACACTTTCTATACTTCTTGAGTGAAATTTTTAAAAATAAAAATAAATAAAAACACATTTAAGTCAGATGCATACATTTTAAAATTAACATTTTTGTCAAAGCATTATTTAGGTACTGAAATTTCCTGATTGAGTCGGTCTTTACAATTTAATACAGACAACCCTTGAATTGAGTGGGTTCCACATGCATGGGGTGAACCAACCTCAGATCAAAAACACTCAGAAAAAGGGCAATTGTGTCTGTATTGAACATGTACATAGTTTTTTCTTGTCAATACTCCTGAAACAACACAGTATAACAAATATGTACATAATATTATGTACATAGTATTAGTATGATAAGTAATTTAGGGATGATTTAAATTATACAAGAGGATGTGCATAGGTTATATGCAAATATTACACCATTTTATATGGGAGACTTGAGCATCTATGAATTTTGGTATCCACAGGGGTCCTGGAATCAATCCCCCACTCCTCCATTGATACTGGGGGATGACTATATTTTGAAATCTTGATAACTAGGAATGGAGAAATGCCATTATAAGAGAGTATACAGTTTTTCTCTTTCTCTACAAATGAAGACTTGAATGCCCATTAAGGGGCAGCGAGCTCCTTGAGTTCGAGAAAAAAAATCAATGGTCCTTATAAAATCAATTTATAAGGTCAAAATCAATTTGACCTTATAAAATTTGCCATTGAGCCTGAGGTTAAATCTTACTAAATTCTTACTGTAGGCCAGGCACAGTGGTTAGAATTGCTACATGCTGCATCTCATTCTGTCTTCACAACAAAACAAGGACATAGATCCTATTATTACCATCAATTTACAGATGAAGAAACCATCCCTCAGAGAACTTAGTTAACTTGCTCTCAGCTCACACAGCTAAGAAGTAATTGAGATGGTATTAGCAGACAGCAGCCTGATTCTAACACTCACCTCATCTCTGCATAAACCCTCCAGTGTTATTACATCATTCTGGGAGCCAGATCTGAGCTGTTATCATGACCTGGGGGCACCTCCAGGTCTAGCCTGGATCCCCGTGTCACACCCCAGCTCATTCTGAGTGTGTCCCTGCCACCTAGATCAATTTTCTGTTTCTCAGACTTGCTAAGCTTATTCTCAAGCCAGCGCCTTTTGCATTTGCTGTTCTCTCAAAAACAAAACATAATAATCTTGATATTTGGGACCATAGTACTTGAAATAATTTATATCTGCCATCTACTCCTGCAAGTAAGGTTACCTTCTAATGTGCCTTGCCACTTTACTTCATAACACAGAACAGAGTCTAAAAAATCTTGTCTACTGATTTGTTTGCTGTTAATTGTCTGGGTGTTTGAAAACACACTTTGGCAGTAGGTAACAAGAAACACATTAAATAAAACCTTTACACCCTTTAGACACAATAATTTTGCTTTTCCCAAGGGAAATACACTTAATAATAAGGTACCATTTATCAAGCACTAAGTTTGTAGCAGGCATCTTGCTTTCATGCATATCTCATTTAACCTCACTCCAATCCTGCCAGCAGGTATTATTATCTTAATTTTCAGATGATAATACTGAAATATTTTAAAAAGAAATAATCTTCCAAGGTCATTCAAATATTAAGTGGCTTAAAATTGAGTTTATTCAATTCTAGCATCTAGGCTTTTAAGTACAGTGCTAAATACTGGGGGAAAATTCGACTAAAAAGATATATAGCAGACTATTTCCAAAAGTGTAAATATAGACCATACTGTATACAGTTCCAAACATAATGCAATCATAAAATGGAATATTGTGCAGCCATTAAGATAATGTTCATAAGATATCATAGCATAACACTCAAAATGCTTATCGTATATCATACTTTGAAAAGTACAAAATTTTTATGTGATATAATTACAAAATTGAAATAAACATTAAAAAAAATTAAAGGAATGAATCAAATAGTGATTGTATTTGAATGACTGAAGTATGCATGATATTTCTTTTTTCTGGTTTCAAAAATTCCCTAATTATACTTAATAAGCTCATATTAGTTCTATAATGGTGTGATTTTAATTTCACATACATAGTCTCATTTGAGACATTTAGACTTTAATGGTACATGAGTTTTCCTTCTGTGGGGACGGCCTTGCCCTTTAACACTTTGTGCCCCATCAAACTCCATTTAACTGAAGCTCTCTAGGTAAAGAGACATAAGAGATTTCTCTTGCCATCTTGGCCACAGTAATTATGACAGGTAGGCCTTACAAGTTTTCTTCTTTCATAAAGCACAGTCACATTAAGAATAAGTAAGCCAGTCCTGGAGAATCACCCTCTTGTGTCTTTTGCCTACAGGGTACTGGTAAGGTCACAACTGATTTTATTGACATAAAAGAGTACCTGCTCATGCTTTTTGTTGTCCAATCACAAGCCATGCTGAATGATTCCCAGTCACCATTCTTGAGCAAGGAACTGAAGTCAGATATTTCAGAGGCACTGGCCCCTTCCCCTAGGGCACAAACTCATCTCAGTTCTAGCCTTGAAGACTGTTTCTAAAACAGGCTTAGGGAGACCCATCTGTAGTCTTCTAAGTGCCTCTAGTGTCTTGTCCCTCACAGTCCAAATTTCCTAGACTAGTCTAACAAAACACTGGTGCTTTTCTCAATTACACATTCTGATAACTTTCAAATTAATCTATTCATATACTGCTTAACAGAGTCTCGTTCACAATGTAGATTTATAAAGGCCAAATTAAAAATGTTAAAACATTCCAGGTAGACCTATTATGCGCCAGTACTATAGCATCTCCCGTTTATAATGTTGTTTCTTGCTCTTCCAGTAGTTTGCTCTCTATTCCCAACATAGAATGCAGCCAATGCCTTGCATAAAAGAGCAGTTTGAAAAATGTCAGGGTAACTTTTTTAAACATCATGTGTTTCTTTTTAGTAATACATTAAACATTGTGATCATATTTACTCTCCTTACAGAAAAATCAGTGAATAAAAATATTTATAAATAGGTAATAACTTTATGCAGATATTTGGTTTTATGAGACATTGTTTCTATTTCATAAAACATTCATATAATAAAACATCTTAATTAAGAATATACTAAAAATGATATCAGGCTTCAGTAATATATAAAATATTCTAGACATGTACTCTTATTATGGAAAGTAACAAAACGGGAATATATTGCTACAACTTTAAGAAGAAAATGCTCACAGTATTTTTCTTATTTACCCAATTCTGCCTTAATAACTTCACAACACTAATTATAAAGACCAAATTAACTAGTATAAATAAAAGCATCTAGTATGCTCTCTGGTTGAAAATAGTTGATATTTAACTCTTAACTACTAACATTTGAGTGCACTGTCATCCATACTGGTTTAAGCATTTTGCATGGATTATCTTGTTTAAACTTTTAAAAAATATTTTAACATAAACACTCTCAAAAAAAGATAGCATAGTTTGGGCGTGGTGGCAGGCACCTGTAGTCCCAGCTACTCGTGAGGCTGAGGCAGGAGAATGGTGTGAACCTGGGAGGTGGAGCTTGCAGTGAGCCGAGATTAACCTGGGTGACAGAGTAAGACTCTGTCTCAAAAAAAAAAAAAGAAAAGAAAAGAAAAAAATTAGCATAGTTTGGAAATGTGCCTAAAGTCACACAGATAGAATATGATGAAACCTGGCTTTGAACTCAGGCTGTTTGACTTCACAGCCCCTGTGGCTAACTACTGGTATTGACCTGCTTCCCTTTGTAAAATTTTACTAGCTAAAATACACATGCAGCTAATAAGGTAATGAGTATGAATTCCAAGACAACAGAAGTCTTCCAACTCTCACTGTTCCAGGAAGAGACAACTTTGGCCAATAACACTGAGTGTTGGCATGGGTGTTTGCTGTGTCCGCTGGGCTAGACTAGGCTTATGAAAGGGAAGAGCAATCATTTGGTAGCATGCATACACCTCTGCCAGTGACTCAATCAGACACAAACTGAGGTGCTGCTGTTAAGGAGTTTGTACATATATAATGAAAGTCTCTGAGTATCTGGAGTATCTGCCACTAAATGAAGGAGATTATCCTGGATGGGCCTAACTCAATCAAGTAAGCCCTACGAAGGCCTGGGCTCCTCCCAGTGATAGAGATTCCAATCAACAACTCGGTCTACAATTGCTTCCCCCTTCCTGGATCTTCCCTTCCTAACCACCTGCCCTGTTGATTTCAGACTTGCTTAGTCAGCAGCTACAGACAATTACACAAGCCAATTCCTTATAATACATGTTTCTTTATAGGTAGGTAGGTTGGTAGACAGATAGATTGATCGGTAGCTTATCAGCTTCTCTGACTGAACCCTGACTGATACAAGTGTAACCAGTGTTGGATCCCAATTTTATGAGATGTGAAGCTTATACAATTTGGTGTAGAAAAAAGAGTTAGATATTTAGGTATTAAATATGTAGGATGATAAAATAACCACAAGATATATATATACTTATATATATATTAGAAATTGACAAATACCACAAACATCACATAAACCAGAATAAGAACACTCAGGAGGCTGAGGCAGGAGAACTGCTTGAACCCAGGAGGCGGAGGTTGCGGTGAGCTGAGATCATGTCATTGCACTCCAGCCTGGGCAACAAGAGCAAAACTCCGTCTCAAAAAATCAAAACAAAACAAAACAAATAAACAAGCAAAAGAATGTAATATTTTTATTATGAACTGCCTGGCATAGCTTAAAAATAATTTTTCTATACAATTTTTGGCTGCATACTCATTAATTGTTACGCCAGATGACAAATATTTGGTAATATCATTTTATATAAAGACAATTTTTTTAAAAAAAGTCCAGTCTGTCTTCTAGCATGTTTGATTAAAACTGGTTTTTAATTAAGGATAATTTTGGCCAGGCGTCAATGAAAAACAAATTCATCACTTACATTTTTAACCTGCTAATGGTTCCCATCATTTTCTACAGACTTGTTTTCAGGCTCCAGGTATTTTGAACACTGATTCCCCTCCACTCCCTATATACTTAAGAGTTCCAGGCACCATAGGACATGATTTTATTGCAATTTGATCCTTGGTCCAGGATCAAGGCTTCATTGTGCCCTGTAGCTTCAGGGCACAATGTTGAGTGAGTTAGCATAACAGGCAGTAGGACTACTCCTGGGAAGCCATTACTACACCAGCTAGCCAGCAACACCTTAAAAATACACGCTGTGACTGTGATCAATATGTCCCATGAAAACAAACCAAATGTGTTCTCAAACCAAATTCTCCTTAGAACCCTGAATGCTTGAAACTATCCAACACTACCAAACCTTAGGTAAAGTGTGACATCAGAAGTTATTAGGGATGGCCATTTTAACTGAGTGTGTATGCAATGTCTTCTACAAATTGTACTTAAACATATGATTGTGTTGTGGTGGGCAGAATAATGGTTCCCCAAGATGTCTACTTTCTAATCCTCAAAATTTACAAGTCACTATCTACAACAGAAGACTGCAGATGTGATTAAATTAAGCACTTAGAAATGGGAAGATTATCCTGGGTTATCAGGAGATGGGCATAAGGAAGTTGTAAGAGTCTTTATAAAGGGAGGCAGGAGATCGGAGGGACAAAAGAGGATCCGAAGATGGAAGTAAAAGGTTGAGATGATGTGAAGAAGGAGTTACAACCCTGGGAATGCAGGCAGCCAGCCTCTAGAAGCTGGAAAAAGCAAGGAAACAAAAACCCCTCCCCAACCCCACCAGAAGCCTTTAGAAGAAACACAGGCCTGCCAACACTTTGGTTTTAGACTTCTGACCTCCAGATCTATAAGAGAATAAATTGGTGTTTTAACCCACTGTGTGTTGTGGGAATTTGTTACAGCAATAAGAAAAGACTAATTAATACACATGTGTATAAATTGCTGGGCCCCTTTCAAGGTTTTAAAGGGGTCCCATACTGGTGAGGGGTTCTGAAGCCTAAGCTTTATTGCATCATCAGAATACAAAAAGAAAAAAAAATACATACGATGCATCCATGCAGAAGCCCTATGGGCTGAGAGATAGGGTGAGAATTACTTTGGCCCAGCTGGTAACATGGGACTCCAATCAACACACCTGTTTGACATATGTTTAAGAAGAAAGCTCAATGCTGGCACCAACAGGCTGCCTTCAGGGCTGAGAAGAAAGGCAGCCAGTGGTAATACCACTGAATGATTTAGTTCTAGCTCACAGTGGAGGCCTCATTCATCCAAACTCATGCTCTGTAGTTTACTTGCTCACATGACCTAGAGGGGCTGCTCTGGCAAGCTCCTATCGGAGGGTTCTTTCTCTTGACAGGTGGCTCATGGAAGTATTTCTTCTGACCACAAGCAGTACCCTTCCCTGAGAGGAATTCTAGTGATTTTTTTCCTCCAAACTGTTTCCAGTGATATTTTAGTGGCTTTTGTGGTCTGGCACCAAGGCAATTTCCCTTCTAGCCTTCTCCTTAATTCTGTTCTGGAGACAATCATGAAAATCTGTGCCCAGCCTGATTCTTGCCTTTCTCGATGACTCTTAAGTGAAGCTAGTGTGATGCAGAGAACAGGTAATCAGCATGGGTGTCCACCAGACAATCGAATTCTGCTTCTGGCACTTATGATGTGACCACCTTCCACTGAAGTTAAGAATATTTACCACCAACATTCAGGGAGGATGAGAGATAATTACAAGGAAGCCTCCAGTTTGCTATAGGCACCTACTGGGTGGAGAACAGGAATTCTGTCAAATATCTTACTGTGCACATGACATGCCCCACCAGAAGGGAACCTTAGGGGTTAGAAATCTTAAAAAGGGGGAAAGGATCAGGATTTTTGTTCCATGGTTGTATGACCAGACTTTCATAAAGGAACAATCAATCCATCAACCAAGAAATAAACCTCAAGATGTGAGCTCTAATCTAAACCACATTTAAAGTTTACTTAGTTCTCAACTTTTCAGTTATGTGAGCTAATTATTATATAAGCCAATTTGAGTTGTTCTTAGGTTATTGCTCCTGAAACCTAAAGCGACTATGGTAGACACGGGTTATACCGAGCAGCTTCCTTGTCAAGGAAGGACTTGCTGCCCCAGCTTCAGGGAGGGCTGTCAGTGGATAGTCAGCTATTTGCCCTTAAGGGATTGTTTCCAGGAGAGAGAACAGCTTCACTCAAAGTTATGTTCTTCTGGAGCAGACAATATCCAGTGGCTGAATCAGGCACTCTTATAAAAGCCCAGTCATTTGGACCCAAGGTAGGACAACTCTGGGTAACCATTAAACGTCCAGAGCTCCACGGAGGGTCTGCCAATGCTGCAGTGCATCTTGACCTCTCCCTCTGCCCAATCCTGCTTCAGCTCCTTCTCTAATAAATATTCTGAACGCTAAACTCTGTCTCAGAGTCTGCTTCCTCGAGAACCCAACCTGCTTCACTGACACAACCACCAACTCTAAACTACCCAATAAATCTTAGTTGATAGTTTATTGAGAGTAACACACAATACTACTAATTTGAAAATATATTTTTTTCTGAGGGCACTTTGTCTGATTTCTCCACTGGCTGTAACCAACACCGAGGACAGTCCTAGCTATTGACGCATTCATTCACCCAATTGTGATTCAGTGTATTCTACTTGCCTAGATACTTAGTACGTGTTTACTGAATGAATGAACAAATGAATGGGTGACTGAATTAAATATTGGGGACTTCCTCCACTGATGCAGACAATTTTAGTTAAATAATTTGAAAACAAAGAAAATATTTTAAACATTGTGATGGTCTTCCTCTTTCTTCACATGAAGCTATTCTACATTCTCATTTCCTTTACATCATAAAGCACAAGGTGGTCTATATTTGCTTCCCCCAGTTTCCCACCTTGATTACTACCAGTTTCTCTCTCTAATAATTAACTGAATGGCATGAAACTTCTTCCTGTGAGTTCTGCATAGCATGATACCCAACAGGTATCTGTTGATTGGTGATTTGTTCTACTGATACATCAGTTTGATTTACATTTGAGCTAGGTTCCTATTTTCTTTTGCTTCTAATATGTATTCTAAAGATGAACATTTTTGAAACCATAGACTATGAGCTAATTGACTAAAGAATTTATTCTCATAAGTAAATAGCTATATGTTTTCCAAGTCTTGCACAGCATCAGACATGCAATAGGTCCTCAAAATGCCCCAAATTTAACCATTTTCATGATGATAAAGAAAAAAATATATAGCTTAGTTTGACCAGCAATTTTGTATCATTTCTTTCTAATTGGGGAGGATACTTCTACTATAGTTGAACAAATAATAACGATTGCTAATACTTACAATATACTTACTTTCATGTCTAACATTGTACTAAGTACTGCAAATACATTATCCTACTTCTTACAACAATCATGAAATAAAGTATTACTATTATGTCAAATTTTCAGATGTATCTTAGAAGGTACACCTATCCTAAGGTCAAAAGCTAATAAGGGCAAAGTAAAATTTCAGAACAACTCTGCCTTTAATCCACTATTAAGCTTCTATTCATAGCAAGTTTCTTCTGATAATGTAAATTTATTATTTCATAAGTGGATCCTTAAAATATCAGAAGGTAGGAAAAAAGCATACAAATATAAATAAGTATGTAGGAATTACCTGTCACTTTGAATTGATTATACTCGCCTCAATGAATCTGGAAAATAAAAGCATGAGTTGACTGGGTCCACTCAATAGGAAATAATGGGCAGGTGATGATGTGTTAGTCGTCAGCAGTCAATTCCCTGACTTACCTCAGACTACTTTCTTCACTAATTGAAAAGATATTAACTGAACACCTACTGTATAGCAGGCTCTACTTTAAGTATCAGGAAACAAAAATAATACGGTATAGTCTTGCCTTCAAAGAGCTAATAGTCAAAATGAGAAAAAAATATCAATATATAAATAAAAATAACAAAATAATATGACAAAAGTCATTTTGGAGAGACTGCCAAGAAAACGCAGAGAGGAGTGCTAACTCTTTTTGAGGTGGAGGCTGGGTAGAAGTCAGGTCAATATTGCTTAGGGCAAGGGTTTGGGAGTGGTAAAAATGGGGTGTGAAGGGAGTTAACAAGGTCCAGCTGGAGATGGGAGCAAAAGCAAGAGGCTGCTGATGAAGTAATTACAGGGGTGACTATGAGTGCCTTGTATTCCATGTCACGAAGTTCAAATGTTCTGTAAAGAATGGAGATCCACAGAATGATTTCTAAGTATGTGAGTGGCAGGATTGTATATTTCTGTTTACTATTTAAGAAAGACTTCCTATTGACAGAGTAAAGGGTAGATGAGAAGGGCCTTCTTTCTGGAAGTAGTGGTCATCAGGAAGATATCATGATGATGCCTCCTGGATACGGTATCCAGTCTGCCTCGAGCACTAGCAGCTGGGAAGACAAGTGCTTTTGATGAGTATATGAAGAATAACTGACCCCCTAGGAATTGGGAGTGATGAATGTTTGAAGGAAACCAAGATAACTGACTTGGCCAAGAGTATACATATAGTATACAGAAGAGGAGGTGATTGGGAGAGAGGTAGAGACGAGAAGATAAAGTTAATTTGAGAACACACTAAGTTTCGTTGTTTGTGAGACATCCTGATGATGGAGATGTGCAATAGACAGTAAGATATGATATTAATAATGATAAATGTGATCATTTATATAGCACTATTACCAGACACTGATGTGAGCATTTTATATATATTAACTCTCTTAATTTTTATAAAACTTATGAAATGAAACTGAGTGAAGCACAAAGAGGTGAGTAACTCACACAAGGTTACACAGCTGGGATATGACACGGTTAGAACTATCTTACTTCAAAATCCCTGCTCTTATCCACAATAGTGCTGCCTCTAGGAAATATGTGTGGGTCTCAGGAGAGGGCATGGACTGTTTTGAATATAAACATTTCAGAGTTATAAAATGCGTAGGTGGTAGTTGAAATTTTGAACATAAGCTTAAATTCACACTTTCTAGTGTGTCGTTTCCCTGATATGAATACACCACACACACACACACACATTTTCATGGGGTTTGGGCCAGAGTCACAAAAGATATAATTCCAAACACCATAATCCCAAATGCTGAAGTCCCAAAAGATCAAAATTTCAAAAATATAATTCTGGACATTTTTAAAAAATTATTTGAAAGACACATATTTACATTTTTAAAGGGAGATATTTGAGAATAATATGCAAACACAACAGAACACTTTATAGGCTACATTAACCATAAAATAGGCAATAATAACATACATATTTTGCAAGCATAAACATTCAGGTATACTAACAACAGTCATAAGGGTATAACAGTTACGAGCAGACAAACCATAGTGATAAAAAAGTTAAAAAGTGAAATGTATAAATACATATTACTACGGTTGGTAATTGTGTGCACCCAGCTTTATAACTGTGTTCATCTGAAATACCAGGACAGACAACCAAAATCTTGATGACATTGACCAAAAACTTTATTGTGTCACCACTCCATATGCAGTTGCCAATAAAGCCAGGATATCAAGAAATGTATTTCACAAATGCCGATGTACAAAAAAGACATCTTTTCATTTATTAAGTTTCAGTGTTTTTTATGTACATGCACAGTGCTTACACACGAAGTCAACATTGTGTTAACTCACTTTTGTGGAGTCAATTTCGCAAAAATGTATAAGATAAATTAAAACTCTAAAAATCTTCGTACAATATATATCTCAGTACTGGAAATGATGCAAAGATGAAATACATAGCACATCAAATTGGCATTATGTGTGGAGGAGTAGAATTAATATATGATTAAATAACTTGGCAGGGGAGATTTCTTGTATTTTTTCACCTGCATTTTCTCCTCTTCTGTGATCTTTAAACCACGGCATATAGATTAGCAGAGTGGTTGTGATCGACAAATTTTGTAAGTAGATGCTGTCCACTTGACAGTCTGGTTATTGCTCTGCCATTTCAATTAAGTGATTTTCTGCTTTCATAGCACCAATAATAATTCACTTTTAAGCTTTTATCTTTACCATTAAGTAGACTCCTTCACTTATCACAGCCTTTTTGCAAGAGAACAATTTCACAGCTCTCTTCCATTATGTTGTAAGGAATACAGTAAGAAGAAATGATATTCAGCTTTCCCAGTACCAAATCTGAATTAGGGCTCTTCAGAGAGACAGAACCAATATGACATGTATATAGATATAGTGGACTTATTAGCAGAATTGACTTATGCAATTATGGTGGCTGAGAAGTCCCATGACAGGCTATCTGCAAGCTGGAGACCCTGGGATGCCGATAGTATGGCTCAGTCCAAGTCCCAAGGCCTCAGAACCAGGGAAGCCAATGGTGTAACTCTCAGTCAGAGGGCTCTGAAAGCCTGAGGACCCAGGTTACCACTGGTGTAAGTCCTGGAGTCCAAAGCCTAGTGAGTCAGTCCAGAGCTCTAATTTCCAAGGCAGCAGAAGAATGTCTCAAAGAAAGACAATTCACCTTCTGTATTCATTCTCTCCAGGCCCAGCCAATTAGATGGTGCTCTCCAACACTGACAGCATGTCCCATCTAGTCTGCTCAACCTCACACACTAATATCCTCTAGAAACACCCTCACAGACACACCCAAAATAATGCTTTACCAGGTTTTTAGGTATTCCTTAATCCACTCAAGTTGACATCCAAAATTAAGTCCCACAAGTCAGAATAGCCCTTGTCAACTTGGTATGCATACATATGTCTTTAAACTATATTTTATTTCCAAATAAAAACAATAACAAAGTGATATGGTCTGGATGTGTGCCCCTTCTAAATCTCATGTTGAAATGTGATCTTTGGTCCTGGAGATGGGGCCTGGTGGGAGGTACTGGATCATGGTGAATCCCTCATGAATGGCTTAGTGCAGTCCCCTTGGTGATGAGTGAGTTCTTGCTCAGTTCACTTAGGATCTGGTTGTTTAAGAGTCTAAGATCTCCTCCTTTTCTCTCTCTGGCTTCTACTCTTGCCATGTGACACGCCTACTATCCTTTTGCCTCCCACCATTATTGTAAGCTTCCTGAGGCCTTCACCAGAAGTAGAGGCCCACGCCACACTTCCTGTACAGCCTGCAGAATGTGAGCCAATTAAATCTCTTTTCTTTATATATTACCCAGCCTCAGGTATTTCTTTATTGCAATGAAAGAACAGACTAATGCACAAAGTAATAATTTCACTTAATGTGATGAAACTAACATGAAGCAACCATCCTGCATACAACTGAAAATGCAATAATACCTTCCCCAGAATTTGGGTTTCAGGATTTCGATATTTATATTTAGGATTTTGTTTTTTGGGATTATGATAGCCATCTGGTTTCATGAGTACAGTCTCAATACACTAGAATGAAGCAAATGAATTTGACCAAAAGAGAATTATTTAGCCTGAAAGGAACCATTCCAGCTGGGCATGATGGCTCACACCTGTAAATCCTAGCACTTTAGGAGGCCAAACTTCGAAGATCACTTGAACGCAGGAGTTAGAGACCAGCCTGGGCAACATGGCGAAAGCCTGTCTCCAAAAAAAATGCAAAGATTAGCTGGATATGGTGGCACAGGCCTGTAGTCCTAGCTACTCTGGAGGCTGAGGTGGGAGGATCACCTGAGCCTGGGAGGTCAAGGTTGCGGTGAGCTGAAATTGTACCACTGCACTCCAGATGGACAAGAGTGAAACCCTATCTAAAAACAAACAAACAAACAAACAAAACCCTTCACTGCCACATTTCTGAGGGGTAAATTTGACTTTCCCCAGTGGGAAGTGTCACCCTGTCTTTTTCCCTTCATGTACTACCAGACCCCCCATTCCTTATTTTGCATCAACAGGGTAAGCCTGGTAAAAGTTAAAACCTTAAAAAATGCTTGTTTCTAAATAAAAACAGAGTGTTTGTTTAGTAGGAATGTTATGCTACAGACTACATAGTATATTATAGTTAAAATAATAATCAAAGGTGTAGAAAGTAAAATCCATTGTTAATCTTTTTATAGTGATAATATCAATATAAAATTATGTTATACCATAAAATATCTTTCTCAAGCTTGTGCTAAATTTTCTGTTTTATGATCTTTAAACAATTAAGAAGCCATAAAGGTAGAAACCTGATGACAGTAATTATAAAGATGTAACTGAAATCATTAACTTTCACCATACCTAAGCAGTTTCAAAATATCCCCATATTTCAACACATTATTTTATTTGCAGATCTTTAACATAAAGGTTGCTTTCCTAATAAATATAGGGAAAACATCTTACTAACAGTCACTAAGGGCAAGTAAGCATCCAGAGGAGTGTAATCAAAGTTAATGAAATGGGCTGCTATGTTAATGTTGTTTTGTATTATTAAACCACTGGCCTGAGAATTGACCTCCCCCAAGAGACTCTGGAACGTTTCTCTTTTTCTGGGATAGAATATTGATAAATGCCTCAGTTGTTCTCTTTACTTGCACACTTAATCTGTGTCATTTTCTAGATTAGTTTTTGTAATAATGATGTACTTCTTTGTCCACCCCTGCATTTCATAATGTTTGAAATTAGGATCCCTTGACCAAGCTCCTCAAAGACAGGAAATCAACTTCTTGATCTGGGGAGGAAATCAAGGAGATTTAGACCAAAAATTTAATAGTACAGAATAATAAAACACATCACATCACTTGCTTCTACTCTAACCCCACTCCACAGTGGCCTGCTTCCTTCATTGGCCATTTGCCACTGGGCTCCTTTCTGCCTCTACTCAGCCTCACCTCTCTTCATCCCTCACACCCCCACTGAATGCCTTTATTACACTGGACATCGATAAAGTCAGAAACAATGTAAATTCCACTAACACTTCTCTGTGCCCAGCAGTGACTTCGAATGGTATAGTTTTAATTAATTAATTAATGAGTTTTTAAATAAATGAAGAGGGTTTTTCCTTGCTTTCCTAGTCCTTCAAGGAACTGTAGCCCTCACTCTGAGCTCCAGTCATTGGATGGTCTGAGCAAACTGTTTTTGGCCTCCCTATCTCTTTAGTCTTGAAACTGCCCCCTCCCCAGGGTTGATAAGAATTGCATGCCACTTTCTGGACAGAAATATAGTTATAGTTAAGCATCAATCCGGCTGCATTTTGACCTATTTTCTTGGCGCTGAAAGTCATGTTAGCATTGGTTACTGACCATTTGTATCCCCACTGTTCCTACAGACAGGATTCCTGACACTGGGGTCATAAGACTGTTTAAGAATTGACTTTCATCCCCATTGTTCCTATAGACAGGATCTCTGACTTTACAATCATAAAGCTTTTGTTTAAGAATCTATCGCTTAAGATGTTTTTTGGACTCCAAATTCCAGCAACAAGTTGGAGGACCCCCTCAGAGAAATGGGACCAGCATGAAAATACAGCTTCTTCCTCTCCCTGTCCCATGACTTCTCCCTGCACTCTTTGACCAATCAACGATCTTCACACTTTAGCCCACTCCAAAACCTTTAAAACCCTAACCCCAAATTCCCCTGGAAGATAGATTTGAGGTTTCTTCCCATCTCTTCATTCAGTGACACGATGACTAAACCTCTTCCTCTGTTGCAACCCAGAGTCTTAGTGTATTGACTTGCTGTGTGCATCAGGCAATGAACCTATTCTTGTTATAGTGTTTCCCCCACTCCTATCTGCTTAGAGGTATGTGGTGATTTCAGGAATTAGGCAAAACTGGTAAGATCCAACCTTGTTGTGACAGGTTATTAACCTTCGATCCCATTTATTTTCTGGAAAAGTATTATGTTGACTATTTGAGATTTGGTTGGTATTATGCTTTTCCTACAGAAGTTTAGTCCTATTTCAGTGTCATATCAAAAATACTGCAAGAAAAAGGCATCTAGGACTGGAGGCAGGAGGGATTTTCTTTGCTGTATTCAATTTTAACAGGTCTTCCCCTGACCTTACGTCTCCTTTCCTTGCTACATCATAAGCTCTAAGAAGACACATACTGTCTATTTTCCTCAAACCCCGTTTTCAACTTGGTTGATTTTACTTCTAAACATACATAGCACCTCTCTACTTTTCTCTATGTTTAATGTTATCAGTAATGACACTTCCCTTAGAGCTCAGCAACCAGGGTATGTGCCCCTGGGCTTCAGGCTTTACTGGGCCCAATTTTGCCCACCTCTACATTTATCCTATGCTACAGGACAAGGAATCTTTGAGACCAAGTGTTTACATCCTTGAAAGTTCACAAACCCACTTATCCATCCCTTTTGTTGGGACTCAAAAAGCAATATCCCAAAGACTGGCACTCTGATATACTGAGAGGCTTTTGAAGATGACTCAGAATCAATGCTCCTCTAACCTTGTCTTGCATCTCCACTTCCAATTACAGGGAGAGAGTCTCTTTGGAATTTCCTCATCTGACCAAGAAAGCTTCTTTCCAAAAGAAATACAATTGTCTTAAATCCTCACCCTAAGTGATCTCATCAAATAACCAGGAAAAATCAACCACCTGAGAAGAGACTTGGAGTTATCACCACATCCAGACAGAGCTTTCATCTATTCTTCTAAGAGCAGCGCCAAGAAATTACTTGAGGAAATGAATCTGCATAATTATACACTTGTTCCTGTGCAGCTCTACCCCTCACCTTTTTCTGATTGATTTTTTGCAGCAAACCTCCAGAGCAATAAGGGGAAGGTTTCCCTGGCTGCCATATTTTCCAAATGCAAAGGACCATGGAATTTCCTGCCTAAATAGCTACAGTGTTCACTCGCATGTGTGAGACTTTTCACTGGACAAAGGAAGCGGGTGGGCAGTCTTTCCCCCACTTCTAACTGCTTAGAGGTGAAGTTGATATCAGGAATTAGACAAAACTGGTAAGATCCAACCTTGTTGTGACATGTGATTAACCTTCCATCCCATTTATTTCCCTCCATTTTTCCTCTTGCGCTAGGCCCACAAATATTACTGATGGACCTAATCACCCCAATCCCGGTGCTCATTCTTTTAACCTATACCTAACCCCTTTTCCATATAGCATCCAAACTACAAATCAGATCTTAGCGTTTTGCTATTATAACAGCCCTTTGGCTTCTCATTGAACTTACAGGAGTCTTCAAGGTTTAGAAAACCTGGACCTTCACTTTCTACCATTCTTGTCTTCACTTTCCACCATTCTTGTCTTCACTTTCCAAGTTCCAGTCACATAAGCCTCCTCTTTGTACTCAGCCTTTCCTCAGAAGGATTCTTCCCT
Source organism: Homo sapiens (assembly GCF_000001405.40). Lineage (NCBI taxonomy): Eukaryota > Metazoa > Chordata > Mammalia > Primates > Hominidae > Homo > Homo sapiens. The sequence goes on along the minus strand of NC_000007.14, from coordinate 89,055,188 downwards.
CTGCCACAGATTTCCCCATAACCGAACTTTCTTGGTCAAGTCATCCCTCAAAATTAACCTTTTCAAGAAGGTCTTCCATAGCCAGTCAATCTAAGTCAACACTTAACATCACTTTCACCCCATCACTCTTTAACTCATTACTCTGTTTATAATAGTAATTATTACTATCTTAAATTTTGGTATTTGAGTGTTTGCTTTATTTTAGTTTTCTTCCTGTTGTAGAAGGTAATGACTACATGGTAGCAAAGTTCTTGGCCATTGTATTTACTGATAAGTATCAATGCCTTGAACAGGTATTCAAGTAGACATTCAAAATGTAGTTTTAAAGAAAGGAAAAAAATGAGGATGACAGGGAGGAAGGGGAAAAAGTATGAGGTCCAGCAGGGTTGGTCTATGTTGACAGAGACTTAGAAATCCACCTTTTGTAAACCACCTGACTACCTCCTCTTCCTCCACTCCAAAAATAAATAAATAAATGAATAAGCGTGCTCTAGCTGTAAATATGTCAGTTGAAAGACTGGGACATCTGGAAAAATAGAGTTGTTTTTTCCTAATGCTTTATGCCAGATAACAAAAATGAAAAAAAAGCTTACTCAGTGCTTAACCATCCTTTACTACTTCTTGTTCCTCTTTCCTTCCTTTCTAAGCCACAATCATTTCCTTAGAAGTGGTATGGTCTGAGCATCTCTCTGAAATGCTAATCTTTAAAAGAAAATGTATTGTGCCATCATTCATGTAGGAAATAATGCAACAAATATTTATCAAATAGGCTATCCCAGGCACGACTCTGATGTCTGTTTTTTTTCTCTCCAGAAAGTGTTTTATTCATATATAGTAAGAATATATAAGGTTTCAAATAATATATAAATATATATTAGTAATAATATATATTTATATTATATATAAGTATATATGAATATATGAGAATTATTTTATTCTTGTATAATAGGCACATATAAGACAGCAATTAATTTCCTAAAATACAGGGCAAATGCCAGAGAAGAGAAGAACACAGCAGGAGAGAACCAGGCTAACTACTTATGAACTTCTACCTATCAAATGACTCAAATCTCCAAGGAGATCAGGCTTAGAATTCCACATGAAATTTGGTGAACAATTTTAAGACAAATAACCACATTTTAAGTGGCACCATAGCTATAGTTGTGAAAATGTAATTGTGCAGGTTAAAAGAGGTTAAAGCCATATATGAGTACTGTAATTGAATAGTGAGTGACAAATAACACTTCAACATAGACAAAACCTGTTACCTATATTCTCCCCATCTGAGACAAGGGAGGACCAACATTCAACATCCAATTAGGTAAGATCTTCAATTTCTGCCTACAATTTTCATATTACTCTCTTCAATACAAAGTATCAGTTCAGATAAGAGGTTTTAAGACTTTTTTCTGAGTGCATAAGAGTATACAATCAATTATATTAAACCAGAGAGAGAGAGAGAAAGAGAGAGCAAGAAATGCAAAGAAGAAAAGCGATTGAAGGAAAAAATGAAGGAAGGAAGAAAAGAGAAGAGGAAGGAAATCAAAAGTGATCATCTGAAACAGGAAAAACTATGACTATAGCCAAAAACAATCAAAAATTTATGATACTGAAAAATAATATAGTAACATTTATGCAAAACTCTTCCTTGATCCCTGCTGCAAAGTTCAGTTGCAAATTAGTTTACTTTTAATGTTGATATTATTAATATTGACTTGAAGTTCAAAATGAATAGCTCAAGAAAAAATTCACACAAGTCTACTTTATTATTCAGTGTAAATTGCCATTATGTATGATTTTCTAGATACTGGAGTCAAATGCAGAAATGAAAGCACCTGAGGTAAAGAGAGAGTGACAAGAAACACCACTGAGTACAGCAACAAGACTCAAGTGTCTGTCAAATTAGAAATTATGACTAGGTACTATAAATACAACAAGGAGGTAAAAGCAATAAAAGTGTAGTTTTGACTACAGTAATGTCACTTATTCATTCGACAGACCAGCTTTCTGACAGCTTTACTATAGAAATCACAACCAGAACGTCTTTTACAAAATTCTGTAAGAAACATTCTATTTAATTTTATAAAAACAATATACCATAAAACTGTTATAATTATACCTGAATTAAATTGTATGTATCAAGAGAAGTTGGCGATTCTTTTGGAATACGATTTAATGTTAAAGAAGAAATCAATGACTTTGTTAAGCACAGTTGATCTTAATTAAGCTGGAGGAATACAGACAAGTTTTACACTAACTAGGTGACAGAAAAATGTGAAAGCCCAAATATGTCTTTCAAACATGGATGACCAAAGGGTAAGTAGTGTTCATACACTCTTAAACTGCAGTGCAAAGAAGTGAGTGTGGGAAATATCAGTTTTCATAGAAAATCTGAATATCATTATTCCACATGCCTGAAAAAGAATGAATTGGGCTAAATGTGAGTACGTTTTGTTGAGGCAATGCTTGGATAGGAAAGCCATAGTAAGATGGGTTCCTTGTGTACGAGGTTTGAGTTCTGTGCTTCCTGTCATTAACCAGGGACACAAAATCAGAAACTATATGCCATTCAATGTTTTTGTACCCATGAAGTTGCTAGTTTGGTGAAAATGACCTCAAATAAATAAAATAATAAATGCTTCTTTGATGTGTACTTTTAAATTGTAATGTTCAATGTAGCAATTTTGCCTTAGTTTCAAAATCTATAATAATGAAAATTATTTACTATTTTAATTACTTCTTGTTTTACAGCTATTTCATATATGCAATCTAGCACCAGCAATCACTGAGCATAGCTTTGGTTATCCTGTAATTTACTAGTTATTTAGAAACTTAGGAAATACACAGAAAAATTATAAAACTGATGGTAAACAATTAAAAAATATTAGCTGGGAATGGTGGCACACACCTGTAGTCCCAGCTACTCAGGAGGCTGATGTGGCAGGATCACTTGAGCCCAGGAGCTGGAGGCTGCAGTGAGTCATAATCACACCACTGCATTCCAGCCTTGGTGACGGACTGAGACCTTGTCTCAAAAAAATAAAAAATAAAAAATAAAGTTAATACCTGAACAATAAAAGAGTTAGGAGTGGGAGAGATCTTTAAATGAAAGAAAATGCATAATCCATAAAACAAATTAGACATATTTAACAACAAAAAAACCTTTAAGTTGGTAAAATGAAAGATATCCCAAAGTTCAAAGACAAACAAAATCACAAGGGGAAAATGTGTATATATTAATAGCTAACACTTCTTCCTCAAAACAGCCCAGTGAGGGAGGTCTTGGTATTCTTTCCATTTTATAAATGAAGAAACTGGACAACAGGGAAGACAAGACACTTCCCTAAAGACACACTGGTAAGAGATGTGGAAGACAGGATTTGAAGGCAGGTAGTCTGACACCAGTCTGTGCTTGTAACCATGACACTATACTGCAAATTGTTAATATATTTGATAAACAAAGGAAACTCATAAATTTATAAGATGAAATAAAACTCAAAAATTAAAAGATTAAAGGGAATTAACTGAAACATAATTGACAAAATAAAATTCAAAATAGACTCTTAGTATATGAAAAGATGTTAAATCTCACTAGTGGACATGAAGATCATGTTTTTCTTATCAGATTGGCATATATTAAAATTGGTATTTGCTGGACTCAGAAGCTTGAATGGTAAAATAGCAAACTTTGGGCTTTTGAATCCAGTAAAAATGAACAGGAACAATAAAATCCAGCACTTGATAACATGTGGAGAAATTCATTCTCATATCCTTTTAATAATTCCGTATTAATGGTTGAAATTCTACATTTAAATCACTTGGTAATAGTATCAATTTCTTTTGGCCATTGAAAGTAAATGGTTCCTAAAAGTTTACTTGTGAGACTATCAACTGATACAATTATTTGAAAAACAATTTGGTAATACCTACTTAAAAATTTATAGTAGTAACTCTTCTGGAATTTTTTTTTTACTGAAATAACTGTATACATGCACACACACCTACACACAGGCAAGGATCTTTAACACAGCATTTCTTGTAGAAGAGATAAAATGAAAAAGTAATCTGAAGGTTTATAAATAAATGAATAGTTGAAAACATTGATACATCTATATTATGGAACATTGTGTAGCCATTAAGAATGAGTAGGATCAGTATCTATTGCCCAGGAGTGATATCCATAATACATTTTATGTTAAAAAAAAGAAACAAACTCATAAAACGAGGTTTATTTTGTGCTTCTACCTTAATAAAACCTCAACAAAATGATAATGAGTTATATCCATTTGTTTGGCTATAACTTGGAAAATGATATGAAATAATATATGTATATAAAAAGTTGTTATGACAGAAAGGTAATCATTAAGAGGGACTTAGGTGGGAATTATTAGCTTTTTCTCTGTTCATCTCTATCATTTCACTTGTTATAATGAGCCGGTTTTGATATATGAAAATGAACTGTTTTGAAAAAGCAGAAAGAGGAAGAAAATTTCCTATTTTCTTGGAAGGTCTTTCAATAAATAAGACCCTGGTAGATGACGATATCTAATGCACCTTTAGAAGATGAGAATTGTATTCTCTTGTAAAATTTAAACCATCTGAAGGAAGAATAAGGTATCACAATTGAGTCCTGATGGACAGGTGAATTAACAAAATGACTAACCATCAGGGACATTAATCCAAGGATCACGCACTATGATACAAGGAATTAATTGTAAAACCACTAACCATACAGCAAGCATTGGAATTTTGCCAATTCCCCGTTTGAATTATATTTTTGATTGAAAATGGTACGACTTTATTACAGGAGGAATCATTTTAGACCACATGAATATTGATTTATTTTAAGACTCTGATCCCATGCTTTCTTAGGTGGCAATAACCCATAATCCCTTCATCTGAGACCAGAAAGGAAATTATAGGAAGTTCATGATGCTGCATTAATGGATAAAATTTTATATCTAGGTCACTTGGTAATAATACTAAAATCTTTTTTTTTGTCATTGCCTTTAAAATTTTTTTAAAACTTTATCTTCCGAAATACGATTTTAAATAGAAAGCGTTAGTACTTTGGACCTAGAAGAGCCAAATTGTGGTAAACTCATAATTGGAAAAAAACTATTTCTTTTTCCATCTACTTAGACTAGTGAGAAATTTTTTGTTTTCGTTTTTGTTTTGAGACAGAGTTTTACTCTGCCATCCAGTCTGGAGTGCAGTGGCATGATCTCAGCTCACTGCAACCTCCACCTCGTGGGTTCAAGTGATTCTCCTGCCTCAACCTCCCGAGTAGCTGGGACTACAGGCACATGCCACCATGCATGGCTAATTTTTGTATTTTTAGTAGAGATGAAGTTTCACCATGTTGGCCAGGCTTGTCTTGAACCTCTGACTTTACATTATATGCCCACCTTGGCCTCCCAAAGTGCTGGGATTACAGGCCTGAGCCACCATGCCTGGCCAGACTGTGGGAAATTTTTAACTGTTCAAAGGAAGTTATACCCAGAGCAGTGTAGTTTCTGCAGTATTTTTTTTTTTAATTTCTGTCACTTGAAACTTCATAGTAAAGAACAAATACATTCATCAGGGACTTTTCCGGTAATAGCTGAGTACTAAAGTTGTGGAAGTAAACCAGATGTGCTAATAAATGTTTAACAATAAGATCTTTGGGGAATAGAAGGGCAGAGGCATTTTCCAGTTTCTGTGGTGTAAGTATTCACATTATAACCAATTTCAAGCTACCAAGTATTCAAAAACCAGCTGGCAAGTTTTCTAAAATTTTAAGAGCCAGCTTTTGCAAACCCATGCAGGCCAACTCCAACACATCAGAGAAGTGAACCATAAGATCATTCACACTTCTCAGTTGTGAATCGTGCTAATAAGAAGCAAACTGAAAATCTCCCTTTGGTGGAGCATTGGGCTGAGTGAGAAGATTCCATTCTTATCAGTCAGTGTCTCCCACATGGCCTGTCAATGACCTTGTACTAAAAAAGCTGATTCAACATTTTCATTGTACATATGGTAAGTCAAGGAGTCTCAGCATGAAGGTACATAATTATTAAGTGTTCACATAATATGATTGTTAATGATATGTTAATGATAGACAATAGCGACTTTGTACAATACAAAGCAAATGCGTTTGGGAAAACTGACTACAAATACTCTTGGCTATTTACAAGAACCTGAAATTGTGTTTCTTCCTTGTCAGCAAATATTTTATAAGAAGTATACCCCTGAAACAGAAGCAAAGGGCAAGATAAGTTGTCATACAAATTCCATATTTAAGACCCTACTTTGCCTTCTCTAAAAGCATCTTTTTCTACCTTAAACTTGACCTTGGTTTATTTCATAAAATTCATAAGAAGAGAAAAACCACTAGCCAATCCAAGTAAGGAAATAATTAAGAGCAGTACTTAAGGAATGACGAGACCTGTACTAAAACCAATTAATTGAAATGAGTTTTTTAAATCAAAAAATTATATAAACAGTCTCTATAATCTTTACATAATTTCTTCTGTGTTTCAAGACCATCTTTCAAAATACTAGCAGGAGTATTTCTAATTAAATTACCTAATTAAGGTAACTGAATTAAGGGCTTTTTATTATTTTTAATGATAATATATTATCATTCATTGCAACAATCATAATATTGATAAATAAAAATAAAATTCTAAGCATCCCAACCAACTGAACAGACCATCTCTTGGCCAACTGGGCTACAAAGAGACCATGAAAGCTGAGTTGCCTGTCAGGACTAGATAGGAGGTTACAGACCCCTCATTATATCCCCTCCCAGGTGGCTAACAGCTATTAGGCTTTCTTCCCTGAAGGTTAAACAGAAACCAGTCCTTTTAAAAAAGACTTCATTCCTTCGTTACTTCACTTAGAATAATAATCTCTTATCTCATTCAGGTTGCTGCAAATGCCATTAATTCATTCCTTTTTACAGCTGAGTAGTATTCCATTGTGTGTGTGTGTGTGTGTGTGTTTGTGAACATCATATGTTCTCACTAATAAGCGGGGGCTAAGCTATGAGGATGCAAAGGCATAAGAATGACACAATGGACTTTGGGAACTCAGGGGGAAAGGATGGGAAGGGGTAAGGGATAAAAGACTACGAATAGTGTGCAGTGTATGCTTCTCAGGTGATGTGTGCACCAAAATCACCACTAAAGAACTTACTCATGTAAGAAAACACCACCTGTTCCCAAATAACCTATGGAAATTAATAAAAAGAAAAGAAAGGAAAAAGAAAACAAACCAAAAGGCTCTATATCCAAAGGGGGAAAAAAAAAAAAGGATTTAGCCACTGAGATCAACCAATCGCCTGATGCTGCCCTTCCTTTTTTGCCTAAGAGACCACTGATCACGGAGTGGTTCTAGACAGTCTAGAGAGAATGCACAGTGCAGTGAGGGTGTTCATGCCTTCTGCTTCACTTTTTAACATCAGAGAGTGCCCTGAGTTCATGCTGTTGTCACCATTTTTTGAACATGGGTCCTGTGGAGAGGCATGAAGCTCAATTGCACATGTGCATGTTTCTCCATTTGTGAACATTTACGACTCCTCCCATAGCTTATTGAACATTTATATTTGGCTACCTCATTCAGCATAAATTACTATCTTATTCTTCCCACCCTTGAAGTATCTGTTTCTGACTTCTGGCTGGAGGCTATGCTTCCCAGCCAGTCAGAATGGCAACCCTGAAGGCTGCAATATTTTATGAGTAATAAAGCGCTCCTTTCCAAATTTCACTCTTCAGTTGATAATATGTAACAAATGCCAATCATTATTTTTGGTAATTTAATACACATTATCCCTAATTCATATGGAAAATCAACTAGGCAATTGTAAGTTTCCCTATAATCTGGTGAAAGAAATTTGAGTTTGGATAAATTAATATCCAATGTTAATAATAATTAACATTCAAAATCACACAACTAGTAAATATTACTACATCACTTCCTTAACTTTACAAAGTCCAAGGCAGAGAATACTACAATGACGATGTTTGCTGTTGTTACAAAATCACCCATAGATGTTAATGCTTGTCAGCAGAAAGGAGTGATATGGTAAAGTGACATAATCCATAACTTGCAGATAAACATGGAAATTTAACATAATTTTAAAACCCTCAAAGGATAAATTCAGCTATTTATGAAAATTATCTGCCCTAAGGAATAGCCAGAAAATAGATGATTGCAAGCAAACGTCAAAATTTAAGTTATTTAAGTTATGAAGGTAAGGTTATAGAAAGCTATTAAAATAAATAAGGAATGATTACAAGAAATAAATAATAATTGATCATAATAACTGGACTGCACCAGTGATATAATTGATTATATTCTATTTATGGGTATACTTGCATCAGAATCACTCTCTAGGGATTCTAAAAAAAAATGATAAGTAATAGGGTATCTCCAACAATGTTTAGGGGACCAGAAACTATATGAGTAACTATCTCAAACTTTCCGCTTCCTTTTTTTGAATTGGAAAAAAAAGGAAAATCAAAATCAAAATTTTCAAGATCAGAAACATATCTTCTAAATCCCTGGCAATAACAATAACATTTATGTTTTTAACAAGCCTGAATGTTTTAAGGAGGTATATTTGGTTAGATAACTAACCATAATAATGTCCAGCTACCTAGACAGCATTTCAGACAATGAGAGAAGAGAGGCCTTTATTTAGTCCATCAAAACCCTTTTGTTCAGACTTTAAGTTACAAACTTTTTTGTTTATAATTTCATTTATTTGTGACATTTTGAAATACAGAAAGAATAAACTTATCAAAAGACACAAATGGTCCCATGTCTTTGACATTCTATTTCTCCTGTAATAAATACAGCAGCATTCTATTTTACACAACTTTTTTCAGAGGTGTATTAGTCCATTCTGATGCTGCTATAAAGAACTGCTTGAGACTGGGTAATTTATAAAGGAAAGAGGATTAACTTACCCACACTTCTGCTTGGCTGGGGAGGCCTCAGTAAACTTACAATCATGGTGAAAAGAGGAAAAAAAACACCCTTCTTCACATGATGGCAGGAAGGAGAAGTGCCAAGCAAAAAGGAAAAAGCCCCTTGTAAAATCAGATCTCGGGAGAACTCACTCACTTATCACGGGAATAGCATGGGGGTAACGTCTCCATGATTCAATTACCTCCCATGGGGTCCATCCCATGAAACCTGGGGATTATGGGAACTACAATTCAAGATGAGATTTGGGTGGGGACACAGAGCGAAACCATATCATTCCACCTCCAGTCCCTCTGAAATCTCATCTCCTCACATTTCAAAAGATAATTGTGCCCTTTCCAACATTCCCACAATGTCTTAGCTAATTCCAGCATTAACCCAAAAGTCCAAGTCCAAAGTCTCATCTGAGACAAGGCAAGTCCCTTCCACCTAAGAGCCTATGAAATCAAAAGCAAAGGAGTTACTTCCTAGATACATTGGGGGTACAGGGATTGGGTAAATACACCAGTTCCAAATGAGACGAAATGGCCAAAATAAAGGAGCTACAGGCTCAATGCAAGTCTGAAATCCAATAGAGCAATCATTAAAACTAAAAGTTCCAAAATGATCTCCTTGGACTCCATGTCTCACATCCAAGTCATGCTGATGCAAGTGTTGGGCTCCCACCACCTTGAGAAGCTCCACCCCTGTGGCTTTGCAGGACATGGTCCCCCTCCAGGCTGCCTTCATGACTGACATTGAGTGTCTGTGGATTTTCCAGGTACATGGTGCAAGCTGTCAGTGGATCTAACATTCTGGGGTCTGGAGAATGGTGGTCCTTTTCTAACAGCTCTACTAGGCAGTGCCCAGTGGGGACCCTGTGTGGGATCTAACCCCACATTTCCCCTCCACACTGCCCTAGTAAAGGTTTTCTATGAGGGTTCCGCCCCTGCAGCAGACTTCTGCCTGGACATCCAGGCATTTCCATACGTCGTCTGAAATCTAGGTGGAGGTTCCCAAACATCAATTCTTGTCTTCTGTGCACCCACAGATGCCCAACACCTCCTGGAAGCTGCCAAGGCTTGGGGCTTGCACCCTCTGAAGCAATGGCCTGAGATGTACCTTTGTTCCTTTTAGCCCTGGCTGGAGCTGAATCAGCTGGGACACAGGACACCATGTCCCAACTGCAGAGAGCAGGGGGCCCCTAGGTCCAGCACAGGAAACCATTTTTCCCTCATAGGCTACCCGGCCTGTGATGGATGGGGCTACTGTGAAGGTCTCTGACATGACCTGGAAATATTTTCCCCATTGTCTTGCTGATTAACATTCGGCTCCTTGTTACTTATGCAAATTTCTGCAGCCTGCTTGAATTTCTCTCCAGAAAATGGGGTTTTCTTTTCTATCGCACTGTCAGGCTGTAAATTTTCCAAACTTTTATTCTCTGCTTCTTCTTGAATATTTTGCCACATAGAAATTTCTTCTGCCAGATACCCTAAGTCATCTAACTGAAGTTCAAAGTTCCTCAGATCTCTAGGGAAGGGGCAAAATGTCACCAGTCTCTTTGCATAGCAAGAGTCATTTTTACTCCAGTTCCCAAAAAGTTCCTCATCTCCATCTGAGACCACCTCAACCTGGACTTCATTGTCCATGTCGCTATCAGCATTTTGGTCAAAGTGATTTGGCAAGTCTCTAGGAAGTCCCAAACTTTCCCATATTTTCTTATCTTCTTGTAAGCCCCCACCACAAACAGTTCCAACCTCTGCCTGTTACCCAGTTCCAAAGTTCTTCTACATTTTTGGGTATCTTTGCAGCAGCACCCCACTTTCTGTGATACCAATTTACTGTATTAGTCCGTTCTCATGCTGCTATAAAGAAATGTCCAAGACTGGGTAATTTATAAAGGAAAGATGATTAATTGACTCACTGTTCCACAGGGCTGGGAAGGCCTCAGGAAACTTACAATCATGGCGAAAGGGGAAGCAAACACATCCTTCTTCACATGATGGCAGGAAGAAGTGTTGAGCAAAGAGGGAAAAGCCCTTTATAAAACCATCAGATCTCATGAGAACTCACTACCAGGAAAACAACAGCATGGGGGTAACCATCTCTATGGTTCAGTTACCTTCCACTGAATGCCTCCCAGGACATGTGGGGATTATGCAGTGTCTGTCTTTCTGTGTCTGGCTTATTTCACTTGTCATAATAACATAATCCATGTTGTTACAAATAGCAGGATTTCATTTTCTATGGGTGAATAGTATTCTATTGTGTATATATACCATAAATTCTTTAGAATGTACTCTTTTGATGTTTTCTTTTCTATTAACTTACTTTAGCTCCTGATATCTCTTAATATATATTCACTGAAGCTGGTCTTATTAAAGGAGGTCCCTGGCCCAGTTTGGAAGGAGGCTGATACTCTGAATTTTAACAACAATCTTTACTGTTCTTAAGAGTCTTGTGTTCAGTGAAGACCTTCCCTTTAGTGAGTTCAGCAGACAGAGTGAATCATAATTGCTTTTAACTATAAACCACATAGTGCTTTTAAATATAAACCACAGTACATTTGTTAAAATGTGTTCCCATAAAGATTTATGAATTCAAAGTGTGCATTTGCAAAAGTTAATACAGAATTCCTTTGAATGGCTTTCAGTGAGCATCAACCATGACATTTTATGGCTGATGCTATATTATGTTTCTCAATGACATTATTCCAGGAACTTTCAGAACTAAATTTACTCTATAGCCTACTCAGAAAATATTCCATTTTGTTATAACTCACAAAAATTAGATGTTTGTAATTAAAAGTAGAAATGTTTTATTTTGAAAAATTTGAGACAATGAAGGTTAATTATGTGCAGCAATACAAAGACTACTGTGTTTAATTGTAAAAAATTCACATTGAATTAATTTCTGCTACAGGTTACAACTATTTGTGATTAAGTGATGCGACTGAGTCATGAATATCTTCAAACTGACCCTCATCTTATGGCAAGAAATTCCATTTTTCCTTGTTTATCCTATTAGTATGCCTCAAAGGACACCGGCATTAATCAGTGGAAATGTCAGGCAACCATGAGTTGATTTACAAGTCATTTTTTTAAAGGAGCGTCTCAAGTTTCTGCTTTCAGCATTGTGACTTTGATTTATTGTACAGCTGTCCTTGATTTCCATATTTGTTTTACACATACAATTCCTGCCCAAAGAAGTCAATAAAAAAGGCATATTTTATGAAATGGCATATAGAAATGAATATGAGATTGTATGTTAAAAAAGAATAGCTTATTTAAATTGGCCTGCGTACATAACATATGCATTATTTCATTACCTGTAGGCCAGATTTTAAAAACCTGCTCCTATCTCACATCCATAATATAAATACAGGATACTCAGATCTATGAAAAAAATGTTTTGAACTATTTTTGCCTAAGAAACAGGAGAGGATTAAACTCATTCAGAAACTCTAGATTTCAAAGTTGTCACTGATTCACTGGTAGAATCTCGGATAAGATGAAGAATTCAAGGAGTAAAACACATTCGTATCCAATCCTTCAGAGCAGGGCTAGCTCTGCATTAGTCCCAAATTATGATAGCTGAAATTAGGGCTTATTTTTACAGTGAAAGCTTTTTACCCTAAGATCTATTCAGAAAGGTTATAACTTAACTATATAGGAAAACAAAGTTTACATATCATTAGAAATTCAAGCCTTTAAATTTGACTCAGTATCAGTAGTGAAAAAAAATCTCAGATTTGGTAAATATTTTAGGGCAAATCATTTTCAGTGTCTGAACTAATACTAAGTGTGAGTTCCACATATTATTCAAGTAAGACAACTTTAACCACTTTTCATATTCTCTATGAAAAACCCTCATGAAACACCTCAAACTGGTTTCTTTCATCTCCCAAAGTGAGAAGACTTCAAACAGAACTTTCAGAAATATTATAACATTTCTGATTGCATTTTGAAACACTGTTACATTATTATCCCTCATATTATTATTAGAGGAAACTGAAGTTTATCTACATTGAATAACTTGTTCGAAGTGCACAGCAAGTAAATATTAAAGCTGAGACTCATGTCCATCTCCTTCTCTGTCTGGTTCCAGAGCTAGAATCTATTCTTTACCAATACTTGCTACTATTTATAGTTGAGCTGAACTAGAAAAAGTATAACACATTTCTCAGCCTTCACTGATCTGTTATAACACTTTGACTCCTCTGGTAGGAATAGTTTATTTTAAAAATGACTTTGAATCCTTATTTTAAGTCATATATGATGATACTGGTGATGTCTGCAAGATGGTAGAATAAGACTTTGCAGTGCTGATTCCCTTACAGAAACATTAATTTGAACAACTATCTATGGATAAAAATACCTTCACAAAAGCTAAGAAATTTAGCTGACAAATTATAGCAAGTGGTGGGGCACAGATATGAGAAAAGACACATTGTAAAAAGTAGCAAGGACAGTTCACATTATTCATGAAACCCTTCCCACAAGCCTGAACAGCACAGTGTGAAAAGAGTTGTGTCCTGCTCGAGGAAAGGAAAGGGAAGTGAATACCTGATGTTACCACAAACTTCGACACCAGCCCCATCCCACCAAATCCCAGTGTCCCAGTGTTAGGCAAGGCCCCGTGGTCTCAGAATCTAGGCTTAGCTTGGTGCCAGGCCAGTCCTTAAAGACCAAGTCTCCAGACTCAATCACATGAGCCCAGGTTCCAAGGACACTCCAGTGCCAGGTCAGCCCTCATGGCCTCAGGCTCCAGGCTGGCACTTGCAGACTGAAGCCCCAGGCCAACTCCTACACACTCAAGCTTAAGACCTGTCCCAGCATCAGGCTGGCCACTGTGGGCCCAGGATCTAGAATTGCCCTTGTGGTTCCCTGGCACCAGGCCTGCCCACAAAGATACAGGTAGCAGGCCTACCAGGGCAGACCCAGACTCCAGGCCCACTCTAGTAAACTGCAGTTTCAGGCTGACTCCCACAGACTCAGGAACAGATCTGTTTCCTTGGATCCAGTTTCCAGGTACATCTCAGAGTCAGGCCAAGCCCCTTCGAATCAGGCTTAAAGCCTGACACAGTGTGAGGTTAGTCCTCATGGACCCATGCTTCAGGCCAGTCCCTATAGACCAAGGTTCCAGGCCAGCTACCAAGGACCAAGGCTCCATGGACCCAGGGTTCAGGCCTACCCCAGGAGATCTTCACAAGACTGGCCCCACAGATCCAGACTCCAGACCCACCTTTATGGTCCCAATAACCAGACCTACCCCAGTTGACCTCAGCACAAGATGGTTCCCACAAACTCAGGACATCTCCATAGACCCAGATAACAGTTCCACTTTAGCACCAGGCCAGCTTCCACAGTCTCAGGCTCTAGGCCCTGTCCCAACACCAGGCTGGCACACACAGACCCCATCAGATAAACTGCACGTAATAACTGGAAAGGCTGACTGATGAAGGACATTCCCTGGTGAAGCCAGTTTACAAAGACTAGAAGAGGTGTCCACTTCTTTAAAACCACAGACACCAATGCAAGTCCACAGGATTACAAATAATCAAAGAAACACAATACCATAATAGGAATAAAAGAAATCACCATTAACTGGCCCTAAAGAAATGAAGATCTACAAACTGTCTGGCAAATAATTCAAAATTGTCTTAAAGAAGCCCAGTGAGCTATAAGAGAACATAGACATACGACTAACCAAAAATAAGAAAACAATGTATCAATGAAATCAGAGTTTTAAGAAAGGGATAGAATCCATAGAAAAGAACCAAACAAAAATTCTGGAGCTGAATAACACAATAATTAAACTGAAAAATCCAACAGATAGCTCAGTCAAGTAGAAGCAAGATTCAATCAAGTAGAAGCAAGAACTAGTGAGTTCAAAGACAGGTCATTTGAAATTATCCAAAAGAATAAAAAGAAATAAAGGATAAAAAAGAGTAAAGAAATAAAAGATAAAAAGAGTAAAGGATAAAAAAGAGTAAAGAAAGTCAATGGGATTTATGAGATATAAATAAATAAGAGATTTATGAGATGAAAAAGAAATAAAGGATAAAAAAGAGTAAAGAAAGCCTATGGGATTTATGAGATATCATTAAATGCATCAATGCATGCACTATAGAACTCCTAGAATGAGCAGAGAAAGAGAAAAAGTATAAAAGTATATTTGAATAAATAATAACAGAAAAATCTCCAGATCTGGAGAGGAAAATGAATATCCAGATCCATGATGATCAAAAAACCCAAAATAGATTAAACATAAACAGATCATCATCAAGACATACGGTAACAAAATTCTCAAAAGTCAAAGATAAAGAGAATTTCGAAAGCAGCATGAGAAAAGCAACTTATCACATATGAAAGAAACTCTGTTAGAACCATCAGTGAATTTCTCAACAGTAACCATGCACTCCAGGAGAGTATGAGACGATAAATTCAGTGTGTTACAATAAAAAAACTGGCAACCAAAAAAACTATACCCAGAAAAGATGGAGGACATAGGATAAGAATGCTCTTTCCTTCTATTGCAATGCTATACTGAAAGTTCTAGATAGTGCCTACAAGAAAAAAAAAAGACACTTGAAGAGAAAAAAATAAATTTTTTCTGTTTTTAGATGATTATACAGAACACCTTAAAATTTCCACCAAAAAAAACTGTGAGAATAAATAAATTCAATTTGCAGAAGACAAAATCAACATATATGAATTAGTAGCATGTAATAGTAAATTATCTAAAAAAATTATGAAAACAATTTCATTTATAATAGCATAAAACAAAATGCTTAGAAATATATTTAATCAAGGAGGTGAAAGATCTGTACACTAAAAACTAAAACACAATAATAAAAGAAATTTAAAGAACACAAAATAATGGAAAGATAACCCATGTTAATTGATTAGAAGAATTAATATTGTTTATACTACCCAAAGTTTATACTACCCAAACAAACAAAAAATGTTTACACTACCCAAAGCAATCTACAGAAACAATAAAATCCCTATTAAAATTGTAATGGCATTTTTCACAGAAACAAGAAGAAAATTCCTAAAAGTAGTATAAAACCACAAACGGCAGCAAACAGCCAAACAAATCTTAAGAAAAAAGAACACAGCCATAGGCATCATAGTACCTTATTTTAAAATACACTACAAAGGTACCGTAATCAAAATGTCGTGATATTGGCAATAAAAAAAATAGAAAATCACCATACTGGCCAATAAAACAGAATAAAGAGCCTAAAAATAAGTCATCACTTTTATGGTCAATTGTTCATCAGTAAAAATGCCACAAATACATGGTGGAGATAGGACAGTTTCATTAATAAATGGTACTGGGAAAACTGGATATCCACTTCCAGAAGAATTAAATTGTACCTTTGTATCACATCATATACAAAAATCAACTGAAAAAGGATTAAAAACTTAACAGGAAGACTTAAAACTTTAAATATTCTAGAAGACAACATAGGGGAAATGCTTCTTGATATTGGTCTGATTATTTGAATATAACCCCAAAACAAAGGCAATAAAAGCAAAACTAGGTGAATGGGATTATATCAAACTGAATAGCTTCCACACTGCAAAGGTAACAAATCAATAGAGTAAAGAGACATCCTACAGAATGAGCAAAAATATTTGCAAACCATATATCTGATAAGGAGTTAATAACCAAAATACATACGGAACTCAAACAATCCAATAGCAAGAAAACAAATAACCCAACTAAAAACTGAGCAAAGGACCTGAATAAATGTTTCTCAAAAGAATACATACAGATGGCCAATAGATATGTTAAAAGATGCTTAACATTACTAATCATTAGAGAAATATGCATTAAAACCACAATGAGATATCACCTCACACTCGTTTTGATGTTTTTTATCAAAAAGACAAAAAGTAAGTGTTGGCAAGGATGTGGAGAGAAGGGAACTCTCGTACACTGTTGGTAGAAATGTAAATTAGTATACACATTATGGAAAAGAGTATGGAGGTTTCTCACAAATTAAAAACAATCCAGCAATCCCACTTCTGAGGATACATCTAAAGTAAGTAAGTAAAATCAGTATATCAAGGGGATACCTGCACCCCAGTGTTTATTGCACCATTATTGACACAAGACAAGATATGGAATCAATGTAAGTGCACATCAATAGATTAATGGATAAAGAAAATATGATATGCATGTGTGTGTATGTGCATGTGTACAGAATTTAGTATTATTCAGCCTTACAAAAGAAGAAAATTCAGCCATTTGAGACAACATGAATGAACCTGTAAGACATTATGCTAAGTGAAATAAGCCAGGCATAGTAAGACAATGCTGCATAATCTTATTCATGCGTGGTATCTAAACAAGTTGAACTTATAAAAGTTCATTTGCCGCTTAGAACGGCAGATGCCAGGGGCTGGGGCATAGGGGAAGTGGGAAGAGTTGGTCAAAGGGTAGAAAGTTCCAGTTAGGCAGGATGAACAAATTCTGGAGATCTAATATATAGCATGGTGACTATACTTAATAATGTATTGTATACTTGAAATTTACAAAGAGAGTAGAACTTAAATGATCTTATCACACACAAAAACTGATAACTGTGTGAGGCAATGGATACAATAATTAGCTTGATCGTAGTAATCATTTCAAAATATATATATATATATATATCCATGCATTACATTGTGCACTATAAACATATACAATTTTCATTTGTCAATTATAGGTCAATAAGGCTAGGTAAAAATAAATATATACATATATAACTAATACTATAATCTAAATGTGCACCCTCAAATTTTAAGTTTATATTTAAATAATTGGTACATGTGTTAAATTGATTTGGTTTGATTACAACAAATACCACAATCAACAGCTTTTTCTAGTGTGATGATATATACACTGGTAAAACACAACTAAAAGCAGCAATTATGCTATTTAGTGGACATTCTTAAGCATGTTGGTGGTCTGTACATTCTAAATGATTACTATATTTGATTTTCTATTGGTATTGCAAGGAACCAACTCATTCTGGCAGGTCAACTTGAATACATTTCTACTGAAATGTGAGCATTGCCCATAGGACTCAGAGGAATATTTTTTTCTTTTTGGTTAGAATGATTAACTGATAACATCTGCCCTTACATTTTCTTTAGGTTAAAATTGTCTCATTCGTGTAATGTGGCAAGTAATTAAAAAGATTTAAAGTTCATTCTGCAGGAAAATGTCAGCTATACCCAGAGGCATTTTGGAGACTCACTGATGTGAAAAAGTAGATTAAACATCATAGCAAGAACCAATTTTGATTTCCACATCTTCACAACAGAATGCCAACTCTGACTGTTTATTGTCTGACAATTTAAGCATACAGACCTTACCATAGTCATCAAACAATATTGGCCCTTTATTCAAAAAAATTCAGCTTGGAAGTGAGTCCAACCCAACACCAGCTACTTCAGACTCCTAGTGATTGGAAGGGACAGCATAATGTGTCCAACATCCAAGTTTTACCACTGTATTAAATTAGATTACCAGGAAATCAGGTGTCCACACCATATTGTTTCAGCACTTTGTCATGAAAAACTCTTTTCTAAGTTATACATTAAGACTAAGGTCTCAGTTTCTGTATAGAGTTGATAAAAGAAACATAGTTTTGTAAAATACAATCATTTGTCTTTTTCAAAAACCACACTTAAATAAAAATCATATTAACTAATTTCCGTTTTACCCTTATCATAAATGCTTTATTTAAATTTAGTTGCTGGGGTAGGAGAAGCAGGAAGAAGGAATCCCCTCACATAAATTACCATAATTTTATTTACCATAATACTAATATTAATAACATTATTAACTGCTAATATTCATTAATATTAAGCATTTTGTCTGTGCACATCAGTGTTAAGGGTCTTACATATAGTATTACCTGCAATTCTTACAATATCCTCATGATTAAGGTAATATTCTTTTCTCTTTTCATGGATAAAGTTTAGCCAAGAATAAAGTCAATAATTTGCAAATAACTAATAAGTGGATAATTCGGAATTTTGTCTCAGGCAGCTTAAGAACTATATATCTCTATATATGACCCATTTTGGTTTTATTTCAAGGGAATTAAGAGTTAATACTGAATGTTCAATTGCAGTGAGCACTGCAGGTACCACATACTGTGTTTTGTTCTATTGCTTTAACTTGGATTATATATATATAACATATTAATATATACTATATATTAATATATCATATAATATATACTATACTACAATATATAATATGTATTGTATATAATATAAATATATAATATAATATATTAATATATTATATATAATATATAAATATATAATAATATAATGTATATGAATATATAATATAATATATATATTTGGAATGACTGCAAATATCCCAGTATATTATTTTTCCCATACCCTACGGGTCCAATGTACTAACAAAAATATGACATTTGAATGTTTTTCCTGTTCTTAAATCAGTATATTCATAGATTTTGGAATCTGCCAACCCATTTTTTTTGGCTCATTACATTTTTGAAATAGGATCATGCCATCTAAGCCATGTCTGAAATTCTAATTGATTGTTAATTGATCAAGAAATTACTCCATGATAAGAAACACTGATCAAAAGTTCGTCACGCTGTCACTTAAAGTCTTCACTGGAACATACACTTTGCTTCCGGGCTTTAATTCTGAAGATTTATGTCTTACTCATTTTTTTCCATCATGTGTGAAACATACACACACACACATAATTTCCTATCATCAGAATAAAAAGCCAACGTAGCTGATTTTTTTAAAATACACCATTTTCTTATTCTAATAACACAATTGGCTCCTGTGACAAAAAATCAGAATTACACCCTGGGGAGGATTTTGAACTACAGTAAAATGAAATTAAACTATTTTCTTTGCTGGTGATAGAAGCTACCAAAAGAGTTTTTTAATGAATTGCCTGTGATTTTCCTACATACATAACATCCCCTCTGAATCAATAATTATAACAGTAACCATGTTTGTTCTTTCTTTTCAGCAGGTGGGTCTTTTCAAAATATTGTCTAATAAAAAATGTGATATCTAGTTTAGAACACTTATTGAAAATTTAGGTAAAATCTCGTCTTCTAAAATACTCCTTTCACCATCATATTTCTCCAAAATGCTCATTCACATGTAATTTCTTCCCCCAAAATGTAATTGTCTATGGTGATATGTGAATGTGCAATGTGCAGTTGTAGAAATTCACACTGCAGTTTCCTCAATAGATCTTAGAGTATAATAAACTAACATCTCAGTGGTGATCATTAAAAAGTCAAGAAACAACAGATGTTGGAGAGGATGTGGAGAAACAGGAATGCTTTTACACTTTTGGTGGGAGTGTAAATCAGTTCAAACATTGTGGAAGACAGTCTGGCAATTCCTCAAGGATCTACAACCAGAAATACCATTTGACCCAGCAATCCCATTACTGGGTATACACCCAAAGGATTATAAATCATTCCACTATAAAGATATATGCACATGTATGTATATTGCAGCACTATTCACAATAGCAAAGACTTGGAACCAACCCAAATGCCCATCAGTGATAGACTGGATAAAGAAAATGTGGCACACATACACCATGAAATACTATGCAACCATAAAAAAGGATGAGTTCATGCCTTTTGCAGGGACATGGATGAAGCTGGAAGCCATCATTCTCACCAAACTAACACAGATACAGAAAACCAAACACCGCATGTTCTCACTCATAAGTGGGAGTTAAACAATGAGAACACATGGACAGAGGGAGGGGAACATCACACACCAGGGCCTGGCGGGGGGTAGGGGGCTAGGGGAGGGATAGCATTAGGAGAAATTGTGGGTTGATGGTTGCAGCAAACAACCACGGCACATGTATACCTATGTAACAAACCTGCACATTCTGTACATGTATCCCAGAACTTAAAGTAGAATAAAAATAAATAAATAAATAAATGTAAAACTTCAAAAAAAGTCTTCTTTCTAATTATATGGCAGTGACTTTGCTTTATTAACCTATAATCTCCACCCTCCAGGACCTAATATATGCAGTACTCAATAAATGCTTATTAAGTGAATTAAACATAAAACAACTTTGAAATTCTTCAGCTGGGATTCAATAACAAATAAATACAATAGATACAACTACAGCAAATGAATATGTAGGAAGAGATCAATTAGACCTAAAAAATTATTTAACACATTATTATGTTTTCTTCGTGTTTAAAAAGGAACAATGAAACTTGTATTGTAAATGTTGATGCTACACTAATAATAAAAGTTATGAAAAATGATGCAATAAATGATCATAGTTCTTTAATCAGATAATTAATCTTCTAAATAACATAACTGAAAAAAATGAAGATACAAAGCAGAAAGACCTTTCACCTATTTATTAATAAATTTTCAATATTTTCTTCTTTAAATTCTTAAATTTAACCCTAATTAGTTTTTAGAACAATATTTCCTTTCATATTTATTTAATTATGTCATTCATCAGGAAAGGTATTCTTTTCCTTTGTTGAAAATGTATTTACATAATTTTTTTTTTACAAATTCATGTTTTAAGTTTCACATTCAATGGGAAACGAACTATATTTTTTATTAGCATAGAGGGTTTTGCTTGTACACTGTTGGCGGGAATTTAAGTCAGTACATTAATTATGGAAAACTGTGTGTAGGTTCCACAAAATACTAAAAATAGAATTACTCTATGATCCAGCACTCCCACTTTTCAGTATTTATCCAAAATATTTGAAACCAGTTGGTCAAATGATGACTGCACCCCTATGTTTGTGGTGGCACTATTTATAATAACCAAGTCATGAAATCAACCTAAGTGTACATCAACAGATGAATGGCTAAACAACATGAAATATGTACACATGACTGAATACTAATTCAGCCTTTATAAAGAAATTCCTTCATTTGTGACAACGTGAATTGGAGAACATTATGCTAAGTGAAATAAGCCAGGTACAGAAAGACAAATACCACATGATCTCATTTACACATGGATTCTAAAACAATAGAACTCAAAGTAGCAGAGGTTAGAATGGTGGTTACCAGAGGCTGGGGAGTAGGAGTGGAAGTGGTGGGGGGTGATGGAAAGATGAAGGTCAAAGGATACAAAGCCTCAATTAGACAGGAGGGATACGGTTTTTTTTTTTCCTTTTAAATATATTGCACAAGAAGTGACCATAGTCATAAATAATTTATTGTATATTTAAATATAACCAGGAGAATAAATTTCAAATGTTTTTATCACAAAACATGATAACTATTTGAGGTAATGAATATGCTAATTAGAATCATTTAATTATTCCACATTATATTCATAAATTATAACATCACCTTGTATGCCATAAATATATGCAACCATATTTGTGTATTTATAATTAAAATTTTTAAAAATAAAGTAAAAGTTTCTGCATTCCCAGGTAGGTTATGTCTGCAAACCTAACAATTTCCCTATGTGCCTACCTCCTACTCCCTGATGTCTCTCTTATTTTCAAACTGACTTTCATCCTCAAGGCTGATCAACTTGTGAAGCCCCTGTGCCTTCACCAATGATGCAGGTATTTACACTGCTCTTAAAATCCAGCTCTATGTATATTTTCATGTTTCTCAATGTGACAGACTTTTAAATGTAAACACCCTTATTGAAATAAAGATAACCTTGTAATTTTGAAAATATTCTGAAATGAAGAAAAGAAAGTAAGTAAACCTGTACTATCTATCTCATATAAAATTAAAGACTCATTAATCTTATATCTCATTTATTAGTTTCTGACATGTAACATTTACTTTAAAATCTAGTTGAATCTTTTCCAGAAACATTTAAATATTTATTGAGTCTGAATTTATCCCCCTTAACTCATTCTCTCCCCCACCCCACATCCTGTCCCCCCAACACAAGAATGTATTATAAAGAGTTTTCGGGGCATACATTTCCTACAAGCCACAAAAATTTGAAACCATTTCTGGTCTTCTTTGAAATGCTCCTATCACTATGACATAAAACTTGAGGGGGAAAAAAATCAACGTTCTGAAAATGTTGCAAAAGATTAACTAATCCTATCATATTTAGTATCTTAGGATTTATTTCAACTCAAAATAAAATAGCTGTGTGATCTTGAGCTGATATATCATTTATTCTCCAAAAAGGAAAGCTTGCAAATAAATGAGATCACACAGTATTTGCCTCTAAGCCACTGAACAGGTTGTATCAAGAAAAAAAAAAACCTATTGCACAAATATTATAAGCATTTGTCAATATGAAATAAAATCTAGCTACGCTAAACAATTCCATTTGCTTTATGAATCTCAGCCTCAGAACGACATTGATTTTTGAAAAGGTTGCCTATTACCTAAAGATGTAAATTCACTTTCAACATGAAATGATATAAATTAAATTATAAAATAAGGTCATACTACTATTTTAAGAGAGTGTCTCAGTATAGACAAAGTCATAATACATGTTTGTAAAAAAGGGACTTGGGTATTAGTTATTCAAATCTTTCGCTGTACATTTGGGAAAAAAAAAAAAACAAAAACCAGAAGCCTAAAGAAAATATTTGCCTTTTCCACATCCTGTAAATTTTAATGGCAGAACAAGGAAAAAAAATTAGGATGTATGTTTTTGCTGCCATTTACACTACTCCACTGAAAAAGTTTTTCATTATCCATATTATATCACTTAGAAATTAAGTTCAACAAAATTTTATTTGTCTTCTACCTTGTGACAAGCTTTTTGGAGACTGAGAGAAAAATGTTCCCTGTTCTTAAATAGCTCAGGGTTTATTGAAGAAGGCAGTTGTACAAAGAAATGATTATAAGAGTGTGTGAAGACTGCCATAATGAAATATTGTGCATGGTGACACAGGGGCCGTGCGCAAAGGGTAATTGAGTCTAGGTGGGTATAGTCAGAGAAAGTTTTACAGAAGAGGAAATGTCTGAGCAGGGTTTTTTTTTTCCTATTTCTGATATATATATATATACACACACACACATATATATATATACACATATATATTTTTATTATTATACTTTAAGTTGCAGGGTACATGTGCGTAATGTGCAGGTTTGTTACATAAGTATACATGTGCCATGTTGGTTTGCTGCACGCATCAACTCATCATTTACATTAGGTATTTCTCCTTACACTATCCCTCCCCCAACCCCCCAGCCCCCAAAAGGCCCCAGTGTGTAATGCAGGGTTTTTAAGGGAAAACCAGCATTTGCTAAGTAATGAAGGCCAAAGGAAGGGCATTCCAAGAAAAGCTCACAACATTTACAAAGGAACATCACCAAGAAACTGAATAATACATTTAGCAGCTACCACTATAGCTGGAGCATAATATTGCAGGGAGAAACCACACTTCATTAAAACTGGAGGGTCAAGGTCAGATCACAAATGGCCCTTTATTATGTGCTAAGTGAACCTATAAGACAAAAGGGAGCAATTGAATAGAAATTATGTGACTGATTTGGGTTTCAGAATATTTTTCACATAATGTGGAAAATAAATTAGGAAAAAGACAAGGGAAATGGAAAACACCGTTTTCTAAAATTTACTTGAGAGATGAGGCTGGACCAAAAAAAGTTAAGATATTTGACAGATTAGAATCATAAAACTCAAGACTGATGAGTGAGGGAGATGTAGGCAACACATAACAGCAGAATGGAAAGTCATGAGGCTAACAGAAGTCTTGATAAATCTACATGTTTTCATCTTGTTTTTTTTGTCATGATCAAGCATACATATTAATTAATAAATCAATATACTCTCTGATATAGCAATATTATTTAGTATGGGAAGAAATTACTCATTATACCCAAACCCACTCTTCAACAGCAATAGTCATGAATCCAAGGACGTTTATTCTCCTATGGTCCTTGAAAATATGCTAAATAAAATTGCATACACAAATTCAAACTGCTTATGTATTGATGAGACTTCAGATGACACTAAACTATTTTGTCTGAGCTTCCTATTGGTCAGTGGCTTTTCACACAGGCTGATCCTGCAATATGGCATCAGTCTGGGACCCAGACTTTCTTCAGCTCCTGTGCTTTTTTCTGATATGATCACAGTGACTCATCTCATCAGAAGACTGTGTTGACTTCCTTCTGCACCTCCTTCACCCAAAGAATTTAATTAACTCTTTTATAACACAGTCATGACTAATGCTTGCAGCTGGTAACGTAACCACAACCCTGATATATTTAGTTGTTTTGTTCCCAAAATAAGACTCTTTATATATCAGATTTTTACGTCAAAACAGAGCCTTTTCTTTTTGTACTGAATTGCTGCTCTCATTAAGTAGACAAATATCAGAATATTACTAATACAGTACCACCTGAAATTCCTAAGCAGCAGCCCCCATTCCAGCTTCTAACACTCAATTACATTACTGAAAGGATAATCTAATTAAAATGAAAGTTACATTTTAGGAAGCTGTTACTGAGGTGTTTTGTATCATTATGTTAAGTCTGGTAATCAAAAGGTCAATCTGATGACCATAAGAATGACAATAATGACCCCGCTGATGAAGTTGGTGATGAGAGTAATAACCAAACATCTACATCTTTAGTATAAAATACATGCAATCATCATTACTCTATGAGTTGAGTACAGTTATATTGATTTTACAGATGAACAACTTGAGGCTCAAGAAAATTAAATAGCTTGCTTAGGATTTCCCAGCTAGAAACTTAGTCTGATTCCAAAGCCTGTGTGTATGTTTTCCCTTAATCCCATATTACATCTCAGGATATTCTTCTTCTGTGAATATTAGCTTTTCTAGGCCAGGCACAGTGGCTCACACCTGTAATCCCAGCATTTTGGGAGGCCAAGGTGGGTGGATCATTTGAGGTCAGGAGTTCGAAACCAGCCTGGCCAACATGGTGAAACCCCATTTCTAGTAAAAATATAAAAATTAGCTGGGTGTGATGGTGCATGCCTGTAATCCCAGCTACTCGGGAGGCTGAGGCAGGAGAATTGCTTGAGCCCGGGAGGTGGAGGTTACAGTGAGCAGAGATCGCATCATTGCACTCCAGCTTTGGCAACAGAGCGAGACTCTGTCTCAAAACAAACAAACAAATATTAGCTTTTCCAAAAAACATTCAGCTATTATTCATTGTCATTCATTTGTTCATAAGCACTTATGTGTGCTGGTTCTATGTCAAGCTCATAGTAAGTTCTTGAAAACAAAAGGACCACTTTGCTAAATAATTTGCAGGCTAGTAGGAGATCAATTCCTGTAAATAAGTGATGGACATAGAATTAAATATAATAATAACAATTGCTTGATAATAATAATTATCATGATTAATTTTAATTGAGCACTTAAATTGTTCCAGGTACTACTTCAGGTTCTTTATATGTGTGAACTCATTTAATCCACAAAACAACCCTATGAAATAGGCATTGTTATTATTCATGTTTGACAAGTAAGGAAGCTGAAGAACAAAGAACATAAGTAGTTGACTAAAATCACTGTAAAAGGGTCAGCACAAACAAAGCATAATTTTAATCATTTCAAGAAACATTTATGGCACGCTTACTGTATGGCATGCCCTGCTCGATGATTAGAGAAGAAATCACAGAGAATGAGGCACATGAGTTGATTCTTAAAGGATTAAGTTTCTCTACATGAATGAACAGATGAAGTAGAAAACGGCATTCAAAAACCACAAAATGGCCCCACAAATGCACCACCCACACGGTATATTTTATAATTGCACACAGTAAGTTAACTATATCTTCATAGTTTCCAACCTCAACTGGTGTTTGAAGCTGCTCAGCAATCTTGTTTACCTTTCTAGAGCTTTCTCCTCAATGCCATTTTAATGTTTTCTATCATCCTGAAATTTCCAAATGCACAACTTTCTTGCTCACTCTTTTCATATGACTGCTTTCTATTTCACAAGCTAATCAAGTTGCTGTTTGTAATTAACTCAAGTTCCTGCCAATATTGGGTTAAGATTATTGTATAAAATGCTCACTTCAGGGTATTCCTTACTATTTATATTATTTGTTATATATTGACATTTTAAAAATATATCACTATCATAACAAACCACTCTATAATTATGTACCACTCAAATGTTTCAAAGGTCACATGCTGGATATACATGATGAGGTCAGGAATCATGGGTTGAGTAAATATGTAAAGAAAGCACTTTATTAGACAAGCAAGAACAAACAAATTCCAGTGGTAAAACGTTGAAGGATTCACAAACTGACATTCCAGTACAGCCTTCTTTGTCTGCAGAAAAGGCAAACAAGGAGATGACCAACTGCCTAATTTTACCCACTAGAAAAAGCAGAACATTGAGGGCATAAGCACTTGCACCAAGTAATATAAGAGCTCTTGGGCTGGACACTCATCTGACCAGTTCAGGGATGAGACCAAAATTTGCATCTTCCCTGAATTGATCTCTAGATTTTAGGGCCTTGCCGTTCAAAAAGTATTGTATTGTCTGAGAAGAGCTTTCATGACCTTCTTCGTTTTCACATTGAAGGCTCACATATAACAGTGCAGACCCACCTGGGAGAGGTTCTCTCTTCCTATACATAATGAGAGAGGGAGAGCGAGAGAATATGAATAAGAATATTCTCTATTTTGGCCACTGAACTCTCATAAAAGTGTCTGTAGTTTTACTGAATAGATGTTGAAAGTATAAAATGTAATTAGCTTCTTGTAGGGTGGAAAGAAGGGCTGAGAAATCTAAGGTTATTGTTTTTCTGTTATAAATGCTAAACTCACAACCTCAACTGCATCTTTTTGTTTTGTTTTGTTTTATTACAATGGAAGAAATTCTCTTATTTTAAGGTTAGTCCATCTACCATTGTGCAGAATCCTTTTCCTATCGAACATCCTCAGAGAGCTAGCTTTAAGGACTCTTATTTTTATTCCCTGTATCTTCCAGAGAAGATTCTCTCTGTCTCTCTCTCTCTCTGGCTTTTTTTCTGCAGCATTTAAACATGTTCAACTTTATCATTATCTTGCATGTAAAAAATGATTTGCTTTTTATACAATCCAGTGGATACTTTTCAGTCAGTGTTTTACTTTCTTTGATCTATTATTCTAAACTCTCTCTCATGGGTTTTTTATAATCACTTTCTTCTTGCCTCACCTTTATTTCATTTGTCAACTCTTTATTTCTTATTGATGTTCCAAATATTGATATTTCTCAGGAATTTTATTCTAAGGCCAACTTTTCTTCTCACTCTAAATTATCCTTGGATATTGTTATCCACTTTCTTAGAATATCTTTATGCTAAAGATTTCTGAATATGAATCAGTGGTTCAGACTTTTTTCCTAAGAGCCAGACCACCATATTCATCTCTTCACCAAAAGCTCCATTTGGGTGTCCAACCAAATCTTAAAATCATCGTGTCTAAATTGGAACTTCTATCTTTTATTACAGGCTTCTCACTTCTCCTGGGTTTGCTCTACTAGTATGTGATACCATCAGGAAACTCATTTGCTAAGCCACAAACCAGGACAATATCCTCTCTATCTCATTCTCCTTTTTCCCAAGATCATTTCAGTCGTTAGGTTCTATCATTTGTGCCTCTGAAATGTTTACCAAATTTATCCTTTTCTCACCACACCCAGGGTTATACCCAGGTCAAGTCACCATTATTTCATAACCAAATTTTTGGAATAGTTTCCAGTTTGTCTTCCTGCATCTAATGTGGCCTTTCTTCAATTTATTCTCTACAAAGAAATCAAATAAACCTTATAAAAATACAAATGTAATCATATTATGCCACTTCACTGTGCTCTTCCCCCTGTGTGTACCCCCGTGCTTTAGCAAAACCGTGTCCCAGCTCTTTGTATATTCCATGCTGTCTCTGATACAAACATAATTACAAATGTGTAAGCTATTGTCCCCTACATGGGCAACCCCGTTCCATTCTCTTGACCTATCTAATTATTGAGCATTACTCCTAAGCACATCATATCACTTGTTATGGTATATTACTATTGCCAATTTTGTTATATTCATGCCTAGAACATTGTAGCTTCCTGAGGACATATTTCACTTGCCTGCTATTAAATTACCAATGCTTAGCACAGCACTTGGCACATTACGGGGATTTAATGCACATTTGTTGAAGGAATGCATCATGCATACAGCTGATGTAATTAAAAGTAAACCATGTAATAAGGAGAAGGAAGTTGTGGTTTCAGGGTGAAGGGGTAGATAGGGGCCAGTTAATCAATAAATTTGCTAAGGAGTTTGAAACATAACTTGTAGATTATAGGAAACTTTGGCAGTGAATTTATAATTAAGTCAGTGAATAATATAATTAGCTTTGCCTTTTAAAAATCGTAATTTCAGTAGAGTAAAAAATAGTTTGGACACATAGTTAATTACTACCATGATCCAAGAGCAAGAGGGCAAGAAACTGAATCACTGTGGAAACAAAAGGATTTAAATAGTATGATGGATTCAAATAACACATGAGACATAATAGCTGAACTTAGGGAATATTTTGATCTCAAGATGGGAGAGGAAGAGAAGTCAAATTATTTATGAACTGTTAGCACTTTGTATTGACAACATGCCAATAGCTAAGAGTGAGTATATAGATGAATGGGCAATGTCAGATAACATATAATAAGTTTGTTTTTTAAAAAACAAGTTTTTCTGGGACGTTTATAGTATCAGGAAGTTTGTTCTAAATAACACTGGGCAAACGTGCATAATTGCTTTTGAAACATTAAACATATGGAAATTTCATTTTTTTATAATAGTATAATTTTTGGAGACATTGCCTTAATTACTTGGTAGACTCCAAGCTCTTAAGATAGATAATAGCTTCATAAAAAATTAATAAGCTAATGACTCAAACTGTAATATGTTTAAGTTTGCATTTAGACTTTAACTCATTACAAATAACAAAACTTATGTCATTCAATAATTACAGTATCCACCCACTTAAATTCCACATAAGAGCAAAAAGTCTATGACTACTATCATAATTGAGTTAATTTAAAACATCTCTGACTCTGAGTTCTGCTAACTCAAACTCAGTTTATGAGTACTTGAGAATCAATAAAATGCTTAAGACTAATCATTATATCACAAATTTAAATGTATAGTAAGCTTTGAAAAGAAAATTGGAAAGACTTTAGAAGAGGAGTGGAGTGGTATAAGTGAGCAAATCACACACTGGTCATGTGGGTTGTACGGCTGCATCTATAGGTATGGGTGTAATTAGTCGCTCAAAGCTTTCATCTGTCCTCATTCCCTCCTGGACAAAAATGTGGACCATTTTTGTTTGTTTTTTTCATTTCTTATATTCTGGGATAATTGTGATTGAGGTAGAACAGTAATCTCAGAGATTACTCTCCATAAATTTTAACATGCGAGAATCTTCAATATCATTTTGTATAACCAGAAGAATGGGGAGTTGATGGCTCCATAGACTACACAGGTCCATGGAATGTGGTATCAGCCAGGACTTCTAGACAACCTAAAGGACTGGATACTCTCTTAATTTCACATCTTTTTTTTTTTTTTTTTTTCAAGAATGATACTCTTCTCTGAGAGGACTTTGAAAACTTTTTGTAAAAAAAAAAAAAAAAAAAAGTAATAGCTTTCTTAGCAACTGTCAGTAAAGAGGTAGTTACAAAGCCTCCTAATGAATATGCCACTAATAAACAGCCAAATGTATACTAATATAATGATTGTCCAGACTTTGTAGTGAACAGAACCTTAGAGACAGCCTCATTTTACTCCGATGCCAATATGCCAAACAAATATTATCATCTGCATGTTTCATGACATATAAAAGGAAGGGAAACACTAAGTTTGTGAGCTAAAATTATCAAGTGAGTAGGGAGAAGCTAAAGCCCCATAATAAGTTGACATGAGTTAAGCAATGAAATACACTTCTTTGTACCCTAAGTATTATCCTGAAAAATTAATAGCTATCTAATATTGCAAAGGAAAGTACAGAGTGGACACTATCAGAAGCAGAAGCCATGTATGCTTTTTCTTAACCACAAATAAGTGGTTATTCATAGTCTACGTTATATCTCATCTAGCCAGTGGGATATTATTAGACATGAGAGCTCTGCAAAATCACAGCTGTTTGGCAGTGAGGTCTTCACTGTTTTAATGCAAAATGTGAAGCATTAAGAAATATAGTCATGGAATGTAGGAGAACATATGTGATGGTCACAGTGCAGCTCTAGACACCTTCCACTTGGCAGGGTGCTGCCCACAATTTAGCAAGCTAGGAATTCTATGTCAGCTTGGTTTCATTGTAATTTATTATCAGTTTAAAACTTCCTATTCTGTGGGAAAATTGTGACATGAAAAATGAGGCAAGAGTGATGTTGTGCTTCAGTCAAAAACTCCTAGGCATATGAGCTCAGGTCTGACAGGAAAGAGCAGCTAAAATAGGAATCAAGAACAGAGATGAAAGATATTTAATGAAAAAGCATTGTAAAGAACATTGTCTCTGCATGGATTTTCTGTGTTTCTCATGCAAATCTATACAAATGCTGAACCTTGTGGTTAGGAACAAATGAATTTTTTCTTTATCTAGTGATATGGAGAGACTTTTAAGACTTTCGCAAGTCTACATACCCAGTGAAAAAATAAATAAACTCTAGTAAAATGCTCAAATATTCTGAAATGGTTATTAGAGAGGAATTAACCAATTTAAGGACCAAAATGCCATCTACAGTTTAGACAAACTTCATGTATCATCTTATTTTATTTCTATACCACCAACAGAGCAAAGTATTTGTGGTATTTTCCACAGAAGTAGGAGAATGTTAATCTGTGTCAAGTCATACTGGCCAGCATACTCAGTAAATGAATTCATCTATTGTCTCAACACATTTTTACACTAGGAACTTAAATACATGTCTTTAGTTTCTTCAGTGGGGAATTTGAACAAACAGCCAATTGAGTTCACTGGTGAAAAAGTCAGCACTATAGAGGAAAACTCACATGATACAGCTAACTGTTGGAAATTGCATTTATAAAATGAATATCTAGAGTGGCCACCACCCATCTATTCAAATATTAGAAATGGGATGGTAGAACTGGTGGAATATTACTAATATATGAAGAAACAAATATTCCTATCAAATTCCTATACTATCTCATTTTGTTATATATGTTGGTATTTATGGATTTTGAAATCAGAAGTATGGGTCAGGCTAACTTCTCTAAATGTATTTAATGACAAAATCCTGTGAAAGTTATTTTTTTATGTGCATGTGTATTTATCCAACTAGTTATTTTTTCTCCTAATGTGTAAGATTTTTCTTATGAATTAACATGGGTTAAGATGGAGTCCTTAAAATATTCGAGTTCCCATTTATTTTCCCTTCTAGTTGCATTTCCTATCTAACCATTCCTTTCTCCTACTTATCGTTCTGCCTTGCTTCACTCACATGTGATAGCTCATGTTCTCTTTCATCGATAAGCAAAAGGTAGATGTTAACAACAGTTAAGTATTTCTGTGATATCTTGCTCTTATTTAAGAATTAGGAAAGCAACACATAAGCTTTCTTTCATAGAATGACACTCCTGATGAAGAAACCTTCTTTCTAGGGAGTTACAGAAAACACTGTCCTACAAGCCTATGTGCCCTTTAGTAATCCTTCAGAGCAAAACCACACTGACATACTTAAATCACATTTTCATAAACAATTTGAAATTTTAGGAAAAATATATAGTAATTGAAGGCAAAACAAAACAACAATAAAAACAAAGACATAACCGGATAATAAAGAAAATCAGGATCATCTCCACCTTCATCAAGGTCCAATTGTTTGTTTACAGATTTTACTGGGATTTCATATAAACTATTTAAAACATACCTATTTAAAAGTTCGTAATGTAAAGTCAGCAAGATGGCTGACTAGAGGCACATGACACTCATCCTCCCCATAAGAAAAGAAACAAGGCAAAGAATAAACAGATAGAATTTAACTGGAGTATTGAAGAGAGAGCACTAGAAGGCAGCAGGGGAGATGAGAGGTCCCTGTGGTGCTCCGAAGTCCAGGAGGGCACTGTAGAGAGACTAATGAGCCATCCTGCCTCTACTATCCTGTCTCCTATGATGAGATCAACCTGAAGTCAAGAGAGACTTCCCCTCGTGGAAAAAAAAGTAAGTGGAGAAACTCCACCAACCCCCACTGTCACCACAAACACTTGTAGTCCTTACTACAGGAGAATCCCACAGTCCTTGAAAGCCCTGAGCCCAGTTTAGAGAGCTGCCAGGAATTCACACAGCAGCATTACTACTGATTAGGAGAACAAGGTGTGAATTCCCCATTCCCTACTGACCCTTTGTGTCCCAAGCCACTGCAACATGGTACAATCTTAAGACTGGACCTACTTCTAGAGAGCACTATGCTCTGGGAGCCAGTAGCCACTTTACCTCCCCAGCACTGGGGCTGTATCTTCATTCCAGCAAGCCCACATGGGTGGCTGTGTTGTCGCAACTCTGGCTACTCAAAACCTAGGTTTAGGATTGACTGACTCCTGTCCTACACAGCAGAGAAACCAGCACCCACTGCAACTGCACCCAGGGCCTGAGAAACAACCTGACAGGCCACCTCCAGCAAACATGCCACCAGACTGGCCTAGCAGTGATGTACCTGTGCCCAGAGTGTGACAAACAGTTTGGCATGCCCACCATCAGCAGACACACAATCAGGTTGGCAGGAGTGGCCTTGTGCCCATATCTAGGGCTTGAGAAACAGCCCAGTGGACACACCCTTGAGACAACCAAGCAACAGTGGCCCTAGCCAGAGTAACCACCCTGCACCCCAACCATAGTGAATCACACCCTCAGTTGGCTGATCCATCATGTTCATGTTTGTACCCTTGGCCTGAGACATAGTCCTGTGAGTTCACCTCCTGCAAAGCCACAGCATTGCCACCATATATTCAGCCCAGGCCACTGAGACATTTGAAAACATCACTAAAATGGATTGCTGCTGAAGAAAATGTACAAAGACTGCACTACTGCATCCACCTAGAATCAAAGCCCGTGCACCTCATTCAACTGATATTCTAAGACCATCTATAGAAATAAGTCTTTCTCTATGAACCCAACTCCATAAAACTGGAAAAGATGACTATTCTACCACATGTATAGATATCAGTGTAGGGATGCCTCAGATATTAAAAAGCAGGAAAATATTACGTATCCAAAAGAACACAGTAATTTTCTAGTAACAGATAATAATCATCAGGATATAGATGAAATGCCAGGAAAAAAATGTCAAAATAATAATCTTAAGGAAATTCAGTGCGATATAATATAGATAATTAAATGAAGTCAGGGAAACAATTCATGTTTTGAAAGAGAAATTAAGCCAAGAAATAGACATCATAAAAATAACCCAAAACACTTACAGCTGAAGAATTCAATGAGCAAAATTAAAATATACAACATAAAAGAATAAAAAACAAAGAAAGCCTACAGGATTTATGGGACACCATTAAGCAAACAAATATGCACATTATGGGAATTCCTAAACAAGAAAATAAGTGAAAAGGTATAGAAAACCTATTAAATGAAATAATAGCTGAAAACTTCCAAGTCTTGGGAAAGGTGTATATCCACATCCAGAAAGCTCAAGGATTACAAAATAGATTTAAGCCAAACAGACCCTCTCTGAGACAGATTATAGTCTAATTGACAGAAGTCAAAGATAAACAAATAATTCTAAAAACAGCAAGAGAAAAGCATCAAATCACATATAAGAAAATCCCCATTACACTAACAGATTTCTCAGCAGAAATCTTAAAGGTCAGGTGAGAACGGAATAATATATTCAAAATACTAAAACAAACAGACAAAAAATTGAAAGTGAAGAACACTACACCCAGCAAAGCTACACTTTAGAAATGAATAAGAAATAAATTATTTTCCTGGCAAGGAAAAACTAAAAGAATTTATCATCACTAGATTGGCCTTACAAGAAATGCTTAAGAGAGTCCTGCATCTGGAAGCAAAAAGACAGTAAATATCATCATGAAAACACACTAAATTATGAAACTCACTAATATTGCTTATGTACAAAAAAGAAAGAGAAAGGTTCTATCTTTATTACAGCAAGCCCACATGGGTGGCTGCATTGTCACAACTTATAACTACTAAAAACCATCAAACTTCAAAAATAAACAATAAGAGAGAAAATATGAAGCGAAATGATGAGAAAAGAATAAAAAACAGTAGTAAGTGTTCACATATTAATAATATCCTTGGGTATAAATTGATTATATTTCCACAATCAAAAATATCCACTGGCTGAATAAATAAGACCCAATTATATACTGTCTACATGAAACTCAGCTCACCTGTATAGAAACATATAAAGTGAAGTTATGGAAAAACATATTTCACACAAATAGAAACCAAAGAAGAGCAAAAGTAGCTATACTAAAACAGACTAAGTCAAAAATTGTAAAAAGAAACAAAAAGGACATTGTATAATAAATAAGGGATCAATTCAGTAAGAGGATATAATAATTATATATGTATCTAACATTGGAGGGTCCAGATTTATAAGGTAAATACTACTGGATCTAAAGAGATGGTTGTGCCACAAAACAGTAATAGGAACTTCAACCCACCCACAACTTTCAGAATTGGATAGCTCATCTATACAGAAAATCCACAAAGAAACATCAAAGTTACAGTGCACGATAGACCAGATGGACTTAATAGATATTTACAAAACATTTCAACCAACAGCTGCAGAAAACATTATTTTCATCAGTGTATGGAACATTCTTCACATTTGACCATATGTTAGAATACAAAACACATCTCAAAAAGTTTTCAAAAACTGAAATAACATCAAGTATGTTTTAGACCACAATAGAATAAAACTAAAAATCTATACCAAGAGGAATATCTGAAAATATGCATACATAAAAATTAAGCAACATGTTCCTGAACATCCAATGCATTAAGGAAGAAACTGAGAAGGAAATTTAAAAAATTATTGAAACAAATTAAAATAAAAACACAGCACACCAAAACTTATGGGATGCAGCAAAAGCAGTAGTAAGAGGCAAGTTTATAGCAATAAATGCCTGCATCAATAAAGTAGAAAAGCTTCAAACAAACAAACTAACAATGCTCCCTAAAGAACTAGAAAAGCAAGAATAAAGCAAACCGAAAACTGGTAGAATGAAATGAGAAGGCTCAGAAAAGAACTAAACAAAACTGAGACTAACAAAATAGAAAAGATCAATGAAACAAAAAGTTAGCTTTTTTGAAAGATAAACAAATTCAATAAACCATTAGCTAGACTAAAAAGAGAGAAGACACACATAAATAAGGTCAGGAATAAAACAGGAGACATTACAACTGATAGAACAGGAGTGCAAGAGGTTATTAGAGATTCTAATGAACAACTGTATCCAACAAATTGAACAACCTAGAGAAAAAGTAAATTTCTGGACATATACAACCTACCAAGATTGAACCAAGGAGAAATAGAAAATATGAACAGACCAATACTAAGAAGACTGAGTCAATAACAAAAACCATTCCAGCACAGTCCAGCTTCACTGCTGAATTCTATCAAAATTTTGAAAAACTAATAACAATTCTTCTCAAACGATTCCAAAAATTGAAGGGGAAGGAATTCTTCCAAGCTAATTGTGCAAGGCCAGCAAAACTCTGATACCAAAATCCAATAAGGACATAATAACTACAAAAAAACTCCATAAAAACTACAGACCAATATTCCTGAAGAGCATGGATGCAATCCTCAACAAAATATTAGCAAATTGAATTCAAAAACATGTCAAAGAGATCACAAACCATGATCTAGTGAGATTTACTCAAGGAACACAAAAATGGTACAAGATATGCAAATCAATAAATATGATACATCACATCAACAGAATAAAAGAGTAAAATCATATGATCTTCTCAATAGATGCAGAAACATTTGATAACATTAAAATCTGTTTATAACAAAAATTCTCAACAAACTGGATATAGAAGGAACATACCTCAAAACAATAAAGTTCATGTATGATGAACCCACAGCTAGCATCATACTGTATAGGGAAAAACGGAAAGCCTGTCCTCTAATATATCGAACATGCGAAGAATGCCCACTTTCATTCCTTTTATTAAACACAATACTGAAAATCCTAGCTCGAACAATTAGGCAAGATAATAAAATAAAGGGCATCCCAACTAAAAAGGAAGAAGTCAGCTTGTTCCTCTTGGCTGATGACACAATCTTATGCATAGAAAAATCTAAAGGCTCTTCCCAAAAACTTTTAGAACTAATGAACAGAGTCAGCAAAATTGCAGAAGAAAAAAATCAACCAACAAAAATCAACATAATTTCTATACACAAACAAGGAACTAGCTGAAATAAAAACTGAAAAAAGAAATCCCATTTAAAATGGCTACAAAAATTACCTAGGAACAAATTTAACCAAGAAGGTGATCAATCTCTATAAGAAAAATGATACAACACTGATGAAAGAAATTGATGAACACACAAAAATAACAGAAAGACATCCCATGTTTATGGACTAGAAAAATTATTAACGATAAAATGGCCATACTATCCAAAGCTATCTACAGATTCAATCTAATCTCTATTAAAATACCAATGATATTCTTCACAGAAAAAGAAAAATAAATAATCCTCAACTCCATGTGGAATCATAAAAATCCCAAATAGCCAAAGCAATTCTGATGACAAACATAGCCAATATCATACTGAATGGGCAAAAACTGGAAGCATTCCCTTTGAAAACTGGCACAAGACAGGGATGCCCTCTCTCAACACTCCTATTCAACATAGTGTTGGAAGTTCTGGCCAGGGCAGTAAGGCAGGAGAAGGAAATAAAGTGTATTCAATTAGGAAAAGAGGAAGTCAAATTGTCCCTGTTTGCAGATGACATGACTGTATATCTAGAAAACCCCATTGTCTCAGCCCAAAATCTCCTTACGCTGATAAGCAACTTCAGCAAAGTCTCACGATACAATATCAATGTACAAAAATCACAAGCATTCTTATACACCAATAGCAGACAAACAGAGAGCCAAATCATGAGTGAACTCCCATTCACAATTGCTTCAAAGAGAATAAAATACCTAGGAATCTAACTTACAAGGGATGTGAAGGACCTCTTCAAGGAGAACTACAAACCACAGCTCAATGAAATAAAAGAGGACACAAACAAATGAAAGAACATTCCATGCTCATGGGTAGGAAGAATCAATATCGTGAAAACGGCCATAATGCCAAGGTAATTTATAGATTCAATGCCATCCCCATCAAGCTACCAATGACTTTCTTCACAGAATTGGAAAATATTACTTTAAAGTTCATACGGAACCAAAAAGGAGCCCGCATCGCCAAGTCAATCTAAGCTAAAAGAACAAAGCTGGAGGCATCACACTACCTGACTTCAAACTATACTACAAGGCTACAGTAACCAAAACAGCATGGTACTGGTACCAAAACAGACATATAAATCAATGGAACAGAACAGAGCCCTCAGAAATAATGCCACATATCTACAACTATCTGATCTTTGACAAACCTGAGAAAAACAAGCAATGGGGAAAGGATTCCCTATTTAATAAATGGTGCCGGCAAAACTGGCTAGCCATATGTAGAAAGCTGAAACTGGATCCCTTCCTTACACCTTATATAAAAATTAATTCAAGATGGATTAAAGACTTAAACGTTAGACCTAAAACCATAAAAACCCTAGAAGAAAACCTAGGCATTACCATTCAGGACATAGGCATGGGCAAGGACTTCATGTCTAAAACACCAAAAGCAATGGCAACAAAAGCCAAAATTGACAAATGGGATCTAATTAAACTAAAGAGCTTCTGCACAGCAAAAGAAACTACCAGCAGAGTGAACAGGCAACCTACAAAATGGGAGAAAATTTTTGCAACCTACTCATCTGACAAAGCGCTAATATCCAGAATCTACAATGAACTCAAACAAATTTACAAGAAAAAAACAAACAACCCCATCAAAAAGTAGGCAAAGGACATGAACAGACACTTCTCAAAAGAAGACATTTATGCAGCCAAAAAACACATGAAAAAATGCTCACCATCACTGGCTATCAGAGAAATGCAAATCAAAACCACAATGAGATACCATCTCACACCAGTTAGAATGGCAATCATTACAAAGCCAGGAAACAACAGGTGCTGGAGAGGATGTGGAGAAATAGGAACACTTTTACACTGTTGGTGGGACTGTAAACTAGTTCAACCATTGTGGAAGTCAGTGTGGCGATTCCTCAGGGATCTAGAACTAGAAATACCATTTGACCCAGCCATCCCATTACTGGGTGTATACCCAAAGGACTATAAATCATGCTGCTATGAAGACACATGCACACGTATGTTTATTGCGGCACTATTCACAATAGCAAAGACTTGGAACCAACCCAAATGTCCAACAATGATAGACTGGATTAAGAAAATGTGACACATATACACCATGGAATACTATGCAGCCATAAAAAATGATGAGTTCATGTCCTTTGTAGGGACATGGATGAAATTGGAAATCATCATTCTCAGTAAACTATCGCAAGGACAAAAAACCAAACACTGCATGTTCTCACTCATAGGTGGGAATTGAACAATGAGAACACATGGACACAGGAAGGGGAACATTACACTCTGGGGACTGTTGTGGGGTGGGGGGAGCGGGGAGGGATAGCTTTAAGAGATATACCTAATGCTAAATGACGAGTTAATGGGTGCAGCACACCAGCATAGCACATGTATACATATGTAACTAACCTGCACATTGTGCCCATGTACCCTAAAATCTTAAAGTATAATAATAATTAAATAAAATAAAAATAAAATAATTAAAAAAAAAGAAAAAAGAAACAAAGCTACAGTCATCACATTACCAGATTTCAAAATATACTACCAAGTTATGTGAACCAAAACAGAATGATACTGGCATAAAAACAGAAACAAAGATTAATGGAACAAAATAAAGAACCCAGGAAGTAATTCACATAGCTGCAGCCAACTAACTTTTGACAAAGGTGTCAAGTATATCCACTAAGGAAAGTACACCCTCTTAAGTTGTTCTGGGAACACTTGATATCTATATGCAGAAGAATGAAAGCAGACCTCCATTTCTTACTTTATGCAAAAAATCAACTCAAAATGGGTTAAAGATCTAAATGTAAATCCCCATACTGTAAGACTACTAGGGGAAAACATAGGGGAAATGCTTCAGAACATCGGTCTGGGAAAAGGTTTTATGAATAAGGTCTCAGAAGAACAGGTGATAAAAACAAAAACAAGTGTGATTATATCAAGCAACAAAACTTCTGCACAACAAAGCAAACAATTAACAGAGTGGAAAGCCAACCTATGAAATGGGAGAAAATGTTTGCAAACTATTCTTCTGATGAACATTAACATCTAGAATATACAAGGATATCAAACATCTCAACAGCAAATAAACAATTTGATTTTAAAATGGGCAAATGATCTGAACAGACATTTCTCAGAGACATACAAATGGCCAAGAAATATATTTTTCAAAAGTTCAATCGCTGGGCGCGGTGGCTCACACCTGTAATCCCAGCACTTTGGGAGGCCAAGGCGGGTGGATCACAAGGTCAGGAGATCAAAACCATTCTGGCTAACACGGTGAAACCCCGTCTCTACTAAAAATACAAAAAATTAGCCAGGCGTCGCAGCGGGCGCCTGTAGTCTCAGCAACTCGGGAGGCTGAGGCAGGAGAATGGCATGAACCCAGGAGGCGGAGCTTGCAGTGAGCCAACATCACACCACACCACTGCACTCCAGCCTGGGCAACAGAGTGAGACTCCATCTAAAAAAACAACAAAAACAAAGTTCAATCACTAATCATCAGGGAAACGTAAATCAAAATCACAGTGAGATATCATCTGACCACAGTTAGAATGGCTATTATCAAAAAGAAAAAAAATTAATGTTGGTGAGGGTGCAGAGAGTAGGAAACTCTTATACACTGTGGGTGGGAATGTAAACTATTATAGCCACTATAAAGAACAGTATAGAGGCTCCTAAAAAACTACAAATAGAACTACCATATGATTCAACAATTCCACTACTAAGTATTTATCCAAAGGAAGGCAATAAAAATATCAAAGACATATCTGCACCCCCATATTTATTGCAGCAGTATTCATAATGCCAAGATACTTAGTCAACTCAAGTGCTTAACTCTTAAAAAGGAATGAAACCTGTCACTCGCAGTGACATAAATGACCCTGCGGTTGTTAAATAAAATAAGCTGGTAACAGAAAGTTAAACGGTGTATGTTCTCATTCATATGTGGAACCTAAAAGAGTTGATTGTATAGAAGTAAAGAGTAGAACAGAGATTACTAAAGGCTGGAAAGGGTAGGAGAAAGGAGGAGAAAGGGAGAGATTTGTCAAAGGACACAAAATTACAGCTAGTTAGGAGAACTACGTTCTAACGGTCTAGACTAGAGTTATCAATTATATATAATTTCAAATAGCTAAAGAGAGAATATTGAATGTTCCCCCTACAAAGAAATGATAAATGTTTGAGATGCTGTGAATATTAACCTGTTTTAATCACTATACATTGCATGTATCAAAACATCACTATGTGCCCCATAAATATGCACAATTATTATGTGTCAATTAAAAAATAAAAATAAAGAATCTCAGATATCCCAACTTAATTGCAGAAAGGAAGGTATGTTCTACATAAATAGATTCTCATTGTATATAGAAGTTACCTTTCCACCATCAGGCCAAAATTAGAGATCATGCTGGTAGATTCAATATCTCATTTTTAAGTGAAGTATATTCATTAACTAGATTTTTTTTTATAGTGAGTACTAGCTTTCTAATTCTCATATGTTTCTTCTCTCTTAACTGCTCGCAGGAGCATGGCTTATTTAAAATTACCTTTCTCTGATAAAATCTTACCACTTTCAGGACAAAATATTGAAATAACTTGATATGGTTTGGCTCTGTGTCCCTACCCAAATCTCACCTTGAATTGTAATAATTTCCATGTGTCAAGGGCAGGACCAGGTGGAGGTAATTGGATCTTGGGGGCGGTTCCCCTATGGTGTCATCATGATGATGAGTGAGTCTCATGAGATCTGATGGTTTTATAAGTGTCTGGCATTTCCCCTGCTTGCATTCATTCTCTCTCCTGCCATCCTGGGAAGATGTGCCTTCTGCCATGATTGTTAAGTTTCCTGAGGGCTACCCAGCCATAAGGAACTGTGAATCAATTAAACCTCTTTTCTTTATAAATTACCCAGTCTTGCGTATTTATTCATAGCAGCATGAGAACAGATTAATACAGAAAATTGGTACTGGGAGTAGTGGGGCGTTGGCTGTAAAAATACCCAAAAATGTGGAAGTGACTTCAGAACTGGGTAACAGGCAGAGGTTTGAACAGTTTAGAGGGCTCAGAATAAGACAAGAAAATATGGGAAAGTTTGGAACTTCCTAGAGACTTGTTGAATGGCTTTGACCAAAACGCTGATAGTGATATGGACAATGAAGTTCAGGATGAGGTGGTCTCAAGAAGACAATGAGGAACTTCTTGGGAAGTGGAGCAAAGGTCACCCTTGTTATGCTTTAGCAAAAAGACTGATGGCCTCTTGCCCCTGTACTAGAGATTTATGGAATTTTGAACTTGAGTGAGATGGCTTGGAATGTTTAAAAGGAAAGCAGAGCATAAAACTTTGGAAAATTTGTAGCCTAATGATGCAATAGAAAAGAAAAATCCATTTTCTGAGGAGAAATTCAAGCAGTCTGCAGAAATTTGCATGAGTGATGAGAGGCCAAATGTTGATCACCAAGACAATGGGGAAAATGTCTCTGTGGCACGGCAGAAGTCTTCACGGCAGCCCCTCCTATCACAGGCCCTGATGATTAGGAGGAAAAAATGGTTTTGTGGCCAGGGCCCAGGGCCTTTCAGCTTTATGCAGTCTTAGGACTTGGTGTCCTGTGTCCCAGCCATGGCTAGAAGGGTCAAGGTACAGCTCAGGCCATTGCCTCAGAGAGCGCAAGCCCCAAACTTCGGTGGCTTAAACATGTTATTGAAAGTGTGAGTACACAGAAGTCAAGAATTGAGGTTTGGGAGCCACTGCCTAGCTTTCAGAGGATGTACGGAAATGCTTGGATATTCAGTCAGAAGTTTGCTGCAGGGGTAGAGCCCTCATTGAGAACCTCTTCTAGGGCACTGCAGAGGGAAAATGTAGGGTTTGATCCCCCACAGTGTCCCCACTGGAGCACTACTGAGTGGAGCTGTGCGAAGAGGCCCACCATAATCCAGATCCCAAAACAATAGATCCACCAACAGCTTGCACTGTGCACCTAGTAAAGCTACAGACAGTCAAAGCCAGCCCATAAAAGCTGCGAGGGGGGCTGTACTCTCAAAGACATAGGGGCAGAGCTCCCCAAGGCCATAGGAGCCCACTTATTTCATCAGTGTGACCTGCATGAGAGACATGAAGTCAAAGGAGATCATTTTGGAACTTTAAGGTTTACTGACTGCCCTATTGGGTTGTGGAGTTGCATGGAATCTGTAGCCCTTTATTTTAGCCAATTGCTCCCATTTGGAACAGCTGTATTTACCCAATGCCTGTATCTCTATTGTATCTAGGAAGCAACTAACTTGCTTTTGATTTTACAGGTTCATAGGTGGAAAAGACTTCCTTGTCTCAGATGAGACATTTAACCTGGACTTTTGGGTTAATGCTGGAATAAGTTAAGACTTTCGGGTACTGTTTGTAGGGCACCATTGTGTTTTGAAATGTGAGGACATGAGATATGGAAGGTGCCAGGGGCAGAATGATATGGTTTGGCTCTGTGTCCCCACCCAAACCTCATCTTGAATTGTAATGATTCCCATGTGTCAAGGGCAGGACCAGGTGGAGGTAATTGGATCATGGGAAGGGTTTTCCCCATGCTGTTAGCATGATAATGGGTGAGTCTCACAAGATCTGATAGTTCTATAAGTGTCTGACATTTCCCCTGCTTGCACTCATTCTCCACTCATTCTCCCTCCTGCCACCATGTGAAGAGGTGCCTTCTGCCATGATTGTAAGTTTCCTGAGGCCTCCCCAGCCATGGAGAACTCTGAGTCAATTGAATCTCTTTTCTTTACAAATTACCCAGTCTCTGGTATTTCTTCATAGCAGCATGAGAATGGACTAATACATAATTTTATTTGGAGTCAATCAAAAACTTTTGCCCAATAATAAATTAACTCTTTACAACAGAACATTGTGGACTTTTCCTGTGTAGGAACACAGCAATCAAACTCTAGGATTTTATAGGAGAAACATGTTCCAACATAACATTTGAAACACTAAATTTTATCTGACTTTTCCACAGCCTTAGATTCTGGTTTGAAACACAAAATAATGTTTGCTTTATAATGGTAGAAAAGAAATGCAGCCCTTAAAAGAGAGAGCTTTACAACATGTAACTCTTTACATCAAAAATATCTACTTTTATTGTTTTGGGTGGGAAAACAAAGTAAATAATACAGAAAGATTTGCCTTTCTGAGTAGTGCAAAAAAACCCATTAAGTGCTTTTATTGAAACTATTTTCAGTGAGCAAATTGTTGTTACCCAGTTAGTATGGAAGCTTCTCAAGTTTCTAAATTTTTACTTGCTTTAGGAACCCTCCAAGGAAATTTCATGTTACCTAAATACCAGAAGTAAAAGAGACAGAGAGAAAGAGAGAACCTCTCTACTAAGAATGAGTAACAATCAACTTTAACGGGTAAATATGGGTTACTTTTTTCCCCACTTTATATCATTTTGTTGACCAGCCACTTAATCAATACTGTAATGAAGAAGTATCCTAGAAACAATTCCTGGTTCCGTTTCTGTCCCTTATAGGCTGTGAATCCTATAGCAATGCCTCTTTGACTTCTCTGAGTGTCAGTTA
The DNA here is from genome assembly GCF_000001405.40 of Homo sapiens. NCBI lineage: Eukaryota > Metazoa > Chordata > Mammalia > Primates > Hominidae > Homo > Homo sapiens. The sequence goes on along the minus strand of NC_000007.14, from coordinate 89,010,229 downwards.
TGAAATTAAATTTAAAAATAAATGTTAATGTCACTTGAAAAAGGTAAGGCTTCGCAATGTATTATTAGTATTATTATCTTTTATTATTCAGTAATTGTTCCAAAGGTCCAAGAAAAGATAAGAGAAACAGTCCTTTTGTTTAGGTGGCTTATAATCTAGATGGGAAATAACATATGTATATACAATAATAGATATAAAAAATAGTAAATATAAACTTAATAAAAGAATTTGGTGATAGATTTAGAGCTGAGGAAATAATGGAAAATGAGATTTAGTAAAAATGTGTATAGGGAATTAAAAGACATTCTTCTCTCCCATGGGATTTGGAAAGATGTGTTAACACTGCCTTAGTTCATTTCAGCTTCTATAACAAAACACCATAGAATAGTATAACACTGTGGCTTATTAACAACAGACATTTATTTCTCACAGTTCACAGTTCTGGAGGCTGGGAAGTCCAAGAGGAAGTTGCCAGTAGATTTGGTGTTTGATGAGGTCCCACTTTCTGGTTCATAAACAGCATCTTCTCCCTGTGTCCTCACATGGTGGAAGAGATTAGGGATCTCTTTGAGGCCTCTTTTATAAGGGCACTGATCTAACTCATAAAAGCTCTGCCTTCATGCCCTCATCACTTTTCAAATGCCCCACCTTCTCCTAATACCATCACTCTGGGGGTTAAGATTTCAAATTTGAACTTGAGGGGACACATAAACATTCAGTCCATTGCACATCAATTAAAATTAGGTTGACACGAAAGAAGCTCCATTGTCAAGATATATAGTGTTTTCAATTTGACAGGTATTAAATTTCCCTAAGAAAATATTTATCTTGTGAGCAAATGGAATTATGTGATTGAAATTGAGAAGATTGAGAGTGGATACATATATTTGATTCAATAATTGAAACAATGAAATTATGACTATGGATCACATATTGAGAATGATTAGAAATCAAGAATAAAGGATAACAGATAAATGTTTTAGTAAATAGATTAAGAAAGTGATAAAGAAGTCAGAGAACCAAGAAAGTGCTGTGTTATAGATAAAAGAAGAAAAGTGAAAATCAAAATGTCAAAAATTGCAGAAGAATTCTGAGACCAAAGGATAACCTTTGAAAACAGAATTTTAGTCACATGTCAAGCAAATGTGGACCTCAAATCCAGAAATTTAATGATAAAATGGGCAAGTACCTTGTGGAAGCAGCAAATTAGGATACTCATGATCCAGGAGTCTGGCAGGTATATGACCCTGTATCACAGTGAGAAGGGTAGCTAATCTAGGTAAAAATGTCGAGCATGAGAGAAACCTGAACATGTTCAAGGGTAACAAGGAAAACATCACTGGAAAAGAAAAATGAAAGTTACTTAAGACAGAGGGGCTAAACATGGGCTACATTCAAGGAGATGGGAGCAGATAGAGTGTAAGGGTCTACTTGAAAGTGAAAGGAAAGCTTTTCCTTTTTGGTAGGATTCTATGAGCAGTGCTCTGAGTGAAAGATGGGAATAAAGGCGGGATATCATGCCAGATGGTCTCAATATTTCTTCTTAAGTAGGGGTAAGGTATTCTCATAATGGTGAGAATGTGGAGAGTGGGAGATATTGGAAGCTAATGAGAGAGAACCAAGTCTGCCACCAGCTGCATGAACTGTGCTGGAATCAGTGAGTGATTGAGGGACAGTGTTGGGGGAATGTTATAAGCATCAGGAAAGACCTGGTAAGAAATGTGTGGCAATAATATGTGTTTGTTAGATCAATACAGCTCTTTGTCTTTCTCAGAATTGATCTGAGACTTAGTAGCATGGGCAGATGTAGTATCTGTGGAGAAAACAAGGCTCATCAATGAAATTCTCAGTGAAATGGCGAGCATACTGAGGATAGTCTGTTTTTTTTGGGTGCTCACAGATTAACTTTATATGATTCAGAGTAGGACTTCAAGAATCTGTTTGGTTTTTTGTGTAATGAAAAAATACATAGAAACTGTGATTTTTTTTTAACTTTAGAGACTGGTTGTCTGATGCAATATATTTGGGTGTGTCAAGAAAAATGTCTAAGATTTGGAAATCAGCAAATGAAATTACTGGGCATCATTTCAACAAAGTGGTAGAAGCTGTCTGATAGACTATCTGGGGATTATCTAATTCAATAGGGATGAATAACTTTAACCGATTTTCTATTATCTAGACTAATGTAAAAGTAGAAGTTAACTTGCACAAGACTGATTGTCATGAGAATAATTATTGTTCATAGAAATGCAAATAAATTACATCTGATAAATTGAGATATAATTGGTTTTCCTTTTCTAGAAAACTGACATTTTATTACTTTATAGGTTATTAACTAATTTTGCATATATTAACAAACTTATTTCCACTTAATGGAAGCCTATGTTCTTTAAATGTTTCCTTTGAGCTGGTCCTAAGATTTTACTGAATCTCTTATTAATTAATGAGTTAAATAAAAGATTTGACATATATTCACCTTATAGTTTCATGAGTCATGATTTTGCCTTTTGTTCCATGCTGTCAACATAAGACAGTGAATAATTATTTGCTTCTATACAGCTGCTTTTTATAAATACTTCAAAGCTTTTTACAAAAATATATATATTTATAAATATATATAATCATATATAATTATAATATATAAATATATATTATATATAATTATAATAGATAAATATATATTATATATAATTATAATAGATATATTATATTATATATAATTATATGTATTATATTAGGTTGACATATATATATATATATATATATATATATATATATATATAAAATCATGGATAACTTTAGATAACATGTTCAAAGTATGATTTCCTTTGAAGTGTTTCCTGAACCCGGAAAACCCAATCCTATACTCACCCTAACCTTGTGAGCTGGATTAAATAGAAACATAAACTAGCTTAACGAGAAGATACACTTTGTAAACATTTTGTAAAATGCCTCTTATGTTTTGTAAAATGTAATTAAGAGATGGAATCTCATTTAGCGTAGGTAGTAAGAGATGCCTCCTCTAGATTCTTTATGAAATCTAATTTTAAAACGTCATTCCTCATCCATTATATGCAACTTCTTGTGCCCAAAGACTGCCAAGCTTTCCTCTGCAGTGGAGGCTGAGAATGAATTAAAGGAAACTTAGGCATTGAAATCAGAAAGAGGGACCAGGTAAGACAGCTGCTGCATATAGTGCTGAAGGTCGTGTCCCAGCCCAGAAGCACACAGTTGGAAGACGATGGAGGCCAACACGCACTTCATCTGCTGGTCAAGCCACCTGCCCAGTGCAGTATTGACCCTGTCATGAAGAAGGAACACCTTCTGTCAGTCCACAAAGAAGTGCTCAATGGCCTGTGGTGACATTGTTAGCACCCTAAGAAAATAATAATGTGATCAGTTAAGAAAAAAAAATTAATCTACATTTGCAGAGGAGCTCAGGTGAGTTGAATAGTCTGGAGAAGCCTCTCCTGAAAATATGCCTCCTTGTGAAGTCTCTGTTAACAGTGTTTGCTGGTGAGAGAACTATTTATTAGAACTATGTCTTACCTCTTAAGTGAATATGTACTGACATTGAAAGTAGCTTTAAAAACTTTAATATGGCCATGGCATCTAACCACATCAATTGTGCTATACTTTAAATTATTAATATGATAAATATAATAACTATTATTTTATCTAATTTTTGTTATATTTTTCAAAGTTTTACTCCATACAAGATTGAAAATCAGACAAACAAAACATAATCATTCTTCACAATGCATGATATAAATGAGGTTTCAAGACTGGTTTGTATAATGTCACTGCACATTCTTCTGAATGCCTTTACAATTGTGAACAGATAAAATATGAGGTGTTTTAAAAATGGATTGATAAATTCTCCCATCTATGATAAGAGGCACGATATTGTTATTACCTTCCAAATACATGGAATTAAGCAGAGGGAAAATATTGGTCTAAAAGATTTTTTTAATGGAGGAAGACAATTGAGATGTCTCTGGATTATAATCTGAGAGATTAAAAAGGATTTTGTAGTGAAAATAAAAGCCATTATTTTACCTAGAAAAAAAATGCCCTTGCTTTGAGACCTGTTTAAATGTAAAGGTTTTGTTACCAAATTCCAGCACAGTCAGCTATACTGTTGCATGATATATATATTCCCATAAAAATTGTTTTCAAAAATCTAATTACAAAAACCATTATTTTTGTGATTGAAAAGAATTAACTGGAGATTGTTCATAGATATCCACACCTTTTCCATCCAGCCAGAGTATCTAGTCCCATCTTCTCCTTTCTTCTGTAAATTAAAGACTAATTATGTCTTGTAGAGAACTGCCACTTATGTTTACATAATAAAGAATCTGGTGTAGAAAAGGAGAAAAATCACTTAGAGCTGGTGAAAGAATAAGTTTCTAAGGAGTGTGGAAGGTCTGCAATGTAATGACAGAGGTGAGAAGGAAAGAGAATTTTATTAGTGTTGTGTTTGGAAACACTTCTGCTTTTTGAGATATGCAAGTAAAGACTGAGCTATTTGCTATAACTATTGATTATCAGATTTTGTCATAACTCTGCTATCAGAGTCAATAAGTGGATCTAGGATTTGTAAGAGTAGTTTTCATGTAATGAAGGGAACATTCTACAACTGCAATAACAGAATAATTTTACCTCAATATGAAGTTTCAATAATGAATAATTTTATTATCTCAAGTAATTTATGTTACCAGAGAATAAAAAATTGGTGCATCAAAATTAGCAGCTATAACTTATTTGTATTTCCATCTACATACACAGTAGTATTAAAAATGTTCTATAACCTTTGACCTTGACCTTGTGATTCTGCTTGCAGTAGACTTCATAACTATAAAAGGAACAACAACAACAACAAAATCTGTGATGTTCTCTGTGATATACACTGCTATGTAGCCTAAAAAGCCTCCAAGGCTTCTGACACTCAGTGCTTTGTAACCTTGTAACCCATCAGTTGGAGTGTCTGTAAAGAAAATAATGCTCCTTACAGAATAAATATTTTTATATTCACTTTGAGATCTACAGTCTCTGAAAGAATAAATGTTTAGCTTTGGAACAGTTTTGTGATGAGTTTTTGTGAGTTTTATATTACTTTAGAATGCAGTCAAGCCAAAAGGATTAGTAAGAAAAGATGAAGCCCAGGATAGATACTGTTAAGAATAAAATGAAGGCCACTCAGAATGGTACTTTAATAATCCAAGTATGAGTGGTGAAGGCCTAAACAATAATAGTGTTTGTGTGAATGAAACAGAAGAGGAAGTTTTCAGAAATCTGATACACAAAATATAGCCAAGAATTAATGATTACACAGAGAAGAAGGCTAGAAAAAAATGTCCAGAAATGCAAATATTACAGTCAGAAAAATGAAGATGGTGGCCCCACTGATACACATTTTTGTTTAAATTAGAAATCTCTTTCCATGAGCTTCCTTTTTGATATTCCATACCTAAGTATCTAAAAGGAGGACCCTGTAAAATTATGCAAGACTTTTTTTTAATAGAGATGACTTATAATTTTGGTTCTAAGTTTTAAAAGAGCAAATAATAGAACCACTAAAAATATTCACCACTGCATAAAGAAGCAAAAATTGATGGAAGAACAGTAGTAGTCATGGTTACCTGCATGCCGTCACCACACTATAATTATACAATTCATTCCTATGAATAACACAATTATAGCCTAACATAATACAACATAATCTTTCAACCAGGAACAAAAAAAACCCCAGAAACTATTTAAATCAACAAGACCCACAGCTTCATAAAATAAAGTCACATTCCCTGTGTAAGTAATTCAACTGTTCTATATGCATCCTCTTAATTTTTATGATCATACTTTATATGAATAACTAAATTATTCATGAGATTCCAAAGTTTACAAAGTATTTTCTGAAAAGATATAGCCAAAGTCAGATGGGAAACAAAAAAAAAATCACCCTTTCTTATATAGGTCTGTCTTATAATGGTAGCTGTTTTAATTATGATGGCTAAGTATTATTTATAGATTGTTTAATTTTCATTGATTTGCTTTTTTGAATACATTTTAAAATCTCTAACCAGATATTACCAGTGCCAAGTCCACCAGTCCTTGCCCACAATAAAAATAAAATCTGACCTGCTGTAATTTCCCTTTTTTTTTTTTTTTTTTGCTCATTCAGGATCACATTTTCACATTATACTGCAAAACTCCTCTCTTTTTGTTACATACTTTTTAATTTAAATAAACAATTATGCATGAAAGTTTGTTTTAAGAATGCCTATACAAAACTACTCTTCCTGAAACTATGGCACTCACAAACAGGCTAGATTTTACCACTTTTAAACATAATTGACATAATAAAGGAAGTGGTACCATAAAGGCATGGGTTTTCACCTGTATGATTCATGTTGTGGCTATGAAAAGAGAACACTATTTATAAGTCGAAAAATTGAATGTAATCTGTGGGTCAGAAGTAGTCTAATGTAAGAGGCAGCACGAGGCACTCAGAAGAGCACTTGGCTTTGAATCTGAACATTTTGATTTCATTCTGATTCTGGCATCCATTTAGTAATAATTTCCAGCAAGTCACTTAATTTCTTTGAGCCTTAGTTTCTTCATCAATAAATTGAAAGAGTTGATGCTAAATGACTCATTCTCATACTAAAATATTATGATTGAAAGTAATTCTATATTCTGGTTACATAGCTCTTCAGTTTCTAGGAACTGCAAGTAAAAGGTTTGCCAATATCTCCTCTCTGTTGATGTGCCTCAGCTCTTACATACATTGGGCAAGTTCCAGATCACACATTATCCCACTGTGCATTCTGAACTTAGCAAAATAAAGCACACTCTTCCAAAATATTTACACAATGTCCAGCAAAACAACTAAATGTATTATTCTGACTTTTCAGAGTCAAGGGTCTGGGCTAAATCTGCAGTGCCTTAGTCCCATATTTCACTATGGCACTGTCTCCTCTGGAGAACTGTTACATTGCTGCCTCCTAAAGAAGCTGATGAGCCTCTGAATAAATCACACAAAATCACGCATGTACTATTATAGTCTCAGAAAACCTTCCCACATATGAAACAATTACTATCACTCTGAAAATGAAACTGAAAGGGATCTAGTGGTACATTAGCTTACCGTAACCCTTTCCTCTGAAAATTGGTAAGGATTTTGAAAAAAAAAAAAAGTATATAGCTGTGTGAAAACAAATGTAATTGGTAACCTTGTGCAATAACTGCCTTTAATCACCATTGCAGACTCCTTCAGAGTTATACTGAAATCACATTCAAGAATTGAGTTTACTTCTCTATCACAATAGACTCAAATTGTACTTACATAGAAAGTAGTTTGAACAGTTGATTTTTAAGAGTTGTTGAATTCATTAATCCTCTATTTTTTGTTAACATTTTTTCCATTAACATATTTGGTTCACTTCCTTTTTTTCTCATCCATTCACTTATTATTTATAGAGCCAGCTTGAAGATACTATTCAACATGAGATAAGAAGACTATAGCTGATTTAAGTCCTTAAATACCATATAAGGGCTTTTAAATCTGTGAAAATTGTCAATTAGAGGTAAATAACATGATAGTAGATAAAATGACTACATTCCACCCCCTTCTCTAGTAGTTATAAAAAAGAATGCCACCTTTCATAACATAACTTTTGTCATTTAGACAGTATTTCCATGAAAATTGCTATCTATTTAATTGGCTTGTTATAGATAAATGAGACAACATACACTGCATGTAAACTGCTTAAAACAGGACCTAAACATAGTCAATATTCAATAATAAGAAAAGCAAGAAAAATGCAAGCATGTTATTGTGGGAAAATATATGAGGTTTAAAGGATTAGGTTTTGTATGTGAATTTCTCAAAAATTTTTAACTATTTTTCAATGTGAGTATCAATAAATCTATATTTTATTTCTAGCTTAACTAAATTAAGCACTAAATGCAAACATTAGTGCCCATCTATAAATTGTACTCACAAATCTTTCATCCAATAGTTGCTTAAAAGTTCTTTAAATTTAAATATATTACTGTATTTGTACTTTTTATTAGTTTAACAGTGTTTTAGTTTTTGATCTCAATGTTAAAAATATATGTGTTATAATATTACTCACACATTTTATATATCTAAATATATAATACATTACAAAAAAGTGGTTTTGATTAAATGAGTTGGGCATTTATGATTCATTGTTTCAACATCTAAGGGTCATTTGATTTTTATGTTTTAAAATATTTAATTTAATTTAAAAATTTTTAATTGACAAAATTGTATGTATTCTGTATAACATGATGCTTTTAAGAATATATTTATTGTGATAAGAAAAGGACAATAATAATACAAAATACACTTTCAAAATGCCCAAAAAACCCTACAAATTTATTCCATTACATATATCTTCATCATGTACATGACAGGCATTTCAATTCTCAATACTATAAGATTATCTGACATAACAGTGTATTAATATTTTTATTTAAATGAAAGTAACTATTTAGCCCTAATCATCATACAGTTTTATAATGGTGAGTCTTGCTTTGAATTATCAAAGCCTCATCTTCATATTTTCTACCATAATTTGGTTTCAGAAGACCTCTGTGTCAGTTTAGCCTTGGGCTTAGATCTGGTATTTTTATTGGTTGTGTTTTCAAAAGACTGCTGCTGGCTACCAAGCTATCTGACACAGGCTGACAGATAACTACGCCTTGAACTGTCTGCCAGTGCAAAATGTAATAGCATGATTGTGAAACTTGCACATGTTCATACTAGAGAAGTTTTTATTGTGTTTCTGTCTTTTTTCCCAAGACTAATAAAATCTTTCATTTAGCTTTTAAAAAAAAAAGAAAAGGAAAGGAAAAAAAAGAATATATTCATTGTGAAATGACTAAATATAGCTAACTAACATATATGTTACTTCACAGTTATTTTTTCAGTAAGAATAAATATAGCTAATTAGCATGTGCATTATCTCCCATGGTTCCTTTTGTGGTGAGAACACTTTACATCCACTTTCTTGGCATTTTCTAGAATATAATATATATATTGTATAATATAATATAGTCACCATGTTGTACAATAGAGTTCTTAAACTTACTCCTGCTATCTGAAATTGTGTATCTTTGACCAACATCATTCCAACCCCATCCCCACCCCTGAATAATATATATAATATTATATATTATATTATACTATACATTATATATAATTATAGATTGTACATTTATTATATGATTATATAAAATTTGGACCTATCTTTTGGATCACTATACATATATTATATTAGATATATTATTCTATATATGAATATATATTGTGGCATATAATATATATCATATATGATATCTCTCTATATATATAAATGTCATATATATGATGCCATAAAAAAGAAAGAAATCTTGCCATTTGCAACAACATGAGTGAAATGTGAAGGCACTGTCCTAAGTGAAATAAGTCATACAGAGAAAGACAAATACTGCATGATCTCACTTAAATGTGGAATCTAAACACGTTATACTCATTGAAACAGACAGTAGAATGGTGGCTATCAGAGGCAGTGAGCAGGAAAAAAAGGGAGATGGTCAAAGAGTACAAACTTTCAGTTGGAAGATAAATATGTTCAGGGGATCTAATATACAGCACAGTGAGGCAAAACATGTAAACTAATTTGATTAATTCACGAAATATATGTATATCAAATCATCACCTTGTATACCTTACAATCATTTGGTTTTATTTGACAACTATATCAAAATTTGGGAAACAGTTAAAATGAATAAGTAAACACCTGATGTACTGAAATAACCAAATTACTAGGACATTACCTTTCACAATTCATTGCTTAATGATTTGTTATTGCTGCAGATTATATGTGAATCAGTCATAATTATAAATTATTACCTTGCTTAAAGATAAAATAAATGCTAACAGTGCATCTTTCCTCAAATGAGACACCCTGACTTTTGTATTACATTCAGAAAAATTCTCTACCTTGTTTGTTTGTGTCATGCAGTACATGAAAATACTTTGAATTAGGACAGAACCAGTTAAAGGATATTTAGTAACAACTGTAACAGATCTCTAGGCTTCTTTGATTCCTCATGAGACAACTGGATTGTATCACACAGTCTATGTCATGCCAAGAGTCAGCTAGAACTTTTTATCTTTTCTTGGTAAATAATATATTTATCATTTTTACTCAAGGAAATGATGAAAATATTAAATAAACAAAGGATCTCTCACTTATGCATTGAGTAAAAATCACATTTTACTGTTACATATCACTAGGACATGAAATAAGGAATCTAGTTGTTAACAATTTTCAAAGGGACTAGGCTAGGTTGAATATTAATATGTGGCTAAAGAAAATATCTGGAAATAAATGTTTTATTTAGTAAGTGACTTATAAAATACACACAGCCAAACTTTGCTTCTGCTTATCCCTTTGTATTTTTTGGAATTGAATATTAAAAATTAAATAAGCTTCTTGTAAAATGAAAAAATATTTTTACATGCTGGCTCATTAATACTCTGTTCTCCATAAAATGCTATTTTAAATTTCAAATTACTATTTATTTTTTATTTAAGAAAAAATTTAACTACATGAGACATTAGGCAACAAAAATGCTGATTACAATTAATTTTTGTGTGCACTGAACGAAAGATAGAATTCCTCATTGGAGGAAAAATGACAGAGTAGACTACAAAGTGTTTAATGAAAAGTTCCCTTTAAATATGAATTTGCCCTTGTTCATACTTTTCTCTTTGAAAAGTCCAGTGCATAAGTCCAGTTGAAAGAAATCAATTTAAATCTGTAAGAATTATGTAATTCTTGTCAAGTTTTAACATCCTCACTAACTATACTAGTCTTCAGACTGAAACAAAAACAGCAATTTTATATAGTACTGATATAAGACATTTTAATACCAATATTATAAAATGTACTTTTTATAGAACTTTGAGTTAAATTCTGCTGTATTTAAATATTTTCAGTAAGAAATAGTCTAGTGTGAGTCTCTGAAAATAATTTGACAGTCTCTAAAACATCACCTTTCAGCTCTGTTGTAAAACTGATTGAAATCTCATGATTTCATCATATCATGTTACTCTAATAATGTTTTCAGTTCTTCTGCAGTAGGTTGAAGAAACTAAGAACATAAGAGCTAGTGAAGTAAACTTATGACTAAAATGCTAATAGGAAATGATTGTTTCAGGAGTAGAAAATATCTCACAACTTTTCACATTTTTCCCTTAATGGTCAAACACACTTAACAAAATCTTAGTAATCTTATTGTAAAAGCCTTTTGCCCTATTTTACTGAGAAATATTTTCAGCTGGCAGAGTTAATGCAGGCTCATTAAGGAGGCCAAAGCACTTTGTGCATTAGGACTCTGCCCTGCACCCCTGCTTTTGGCCCAATTATCCCGTATTGTAAGAGGAAGAAATTGTCCCACCTCCTATCCCTACTCCATCCCCAGTTCTCTTAACATTTTATGTTTCTGTGACATTACCATCAATTTCTCCAGGTTTTCTCAAAATTCATATCATAGGGATCACTGAGAAGCTTCTTAAAATCAGATTTGCAGGCTGTCTCAAGGGATTATAATTTGCTAGACTGTGGCGGGTCTCAGGAATCTACATCTTAACACGTTGGTAAGATACTTCTTATGATCAGGTAAATTTGGAGATAATATCATCTCCTCTGTTCTTCTTGAACATCACTTAAGGATGATTTCTCACTTCTCTGCTCTCCCAATCCATGGAATCTTCTTTCATTTGCACATTTCCATCCAGTGTCTTTCTGCTTTCTTCCAATGTCATTTATGCACATTCAGGACTGTCACCTGCATGCATGCTTTCATTCTGTTTGACAAATCCCACTTCCCCACTTTATTCCAAACCCTCTCAGTTTAAGATATCTTCCCTTAAAGTGATGAGCGTTGTGGTTAAGAAGTGAGTAGAGGCTAGCCAGGATTATATGGATGGGGAGCATATTAAAAATAATACATGCTCAAAGAAGGAGGACCAGAGGAAAATGTAGTTCTAAAGAAAGACAGGAGACAGCAGGGAAGTGAGATGGAAGAACGTGAGTATACAACGCAGGATAGAAACATAAGGTGACAGGCAGTGACATCACATGGAGGGCATAGTGTCGTGTGTCAGATGAGGCCAAGGATGACAAAGGGGCAGACAGCCCTTTCCAGGCGTGGTAGGCTAATAAGAGTGCTAAGATCTGTACAGGAACAACTGTCATTCAAGACACAACATAAGAGAATGTCAAAAGAGTAAAAAAGTTACTAGCATTCTGAAAAGGGATAGATCATAAATATTTGAGAGGATTTCAATCAACTTAATGGCAAAATGGCATTTCAACTGAGTTCCGAAAGATGGGCCAAATTTTGAGTGGTGCGATAGGAGAGGAAGGTGCCTTAGCAGAGAAAACTTCTAAATGAATAAATGGCTGTATAAGCCAATCTGTGAACAATAGAAATAAAGCAAAAATTAGTACCACAGATATGCCCTATCACTTTTTCTGGGTAGATGATTCCTTCAGGTTTCCAGGTGGCTGCCCCTGCCAGTAGAAATGACACTCCTGATGGCAATACAGATGTTGATGTCATACAAATGTTTTACTCAAAGAATCTAGAAATGTATGCCACATGTAGGCACTTAAATGTATCATTATGATTAGAAACAGAACTTCAGTTAATATCCAATAGTGATTAAAAATTTTCAACTTCTGTAATAAGAATTCTGTTGTTCTATGATAAAACAAAAATACAGTAGTTTAAATAAAACTCCATGTCTTCAGAAGAAATAGTTACAAATTTATATGAAGACCTAAGTGAGGATAATCTAACAAAATAAGACTTGTTAAGTTAGAAAACTTTTGAAATTCAACCACATCCCTTATTGTCTGGATGTAATGATAACTACAAAATGAGGTAACCACTTTAAATAAATGACAACAAACTCTAAAAAAAAGATGTTAACTTAATGACTGATTAGATAATTCTCAAGGTGTCTCCCAAATCTGGATCTAGTGCTGGGTGAAACCACCACTTTATTCATAGTTTGGAACAGTGTCCCTAATTCACACTTTCACCATTCCAAGTGTGTATCAGTTAAACATATTGCCTTAAAAGCATTATGCAAATATTTCTAAGAAGTAATTCAATTTTTACATGCTACAGCATGTCCAGTTTATACACACACACATACACATACTCTCATACACACCATGCGCACATAACTTTTACCGTGTCCATCTGTTGAGTCTGATGGAAGGAAACTCCAGATATGGACATCTTCCAACCTAAATGTCCTGGTAGGTAGGGCTTCACTCCTGGCTCAATTTCAACCATCTTTGTACTTTATACCTCACTAGGTCAAGTTTGTTCAGATTCCTTCTGAGGCTACTTTGCTGCTTTTAGTCAAGTACTTCTGATTCACTGTTTTCTAATTTATTTTGTTTTATAAATGCTTTAATTCATGTATAAGACAAAGCTCTATATAGCTTTAAAGTAAACAGCATGTGATAATCACTCTTTAGCACAGAGTTTAAACACTTGCCAATTTAAATTGTTTGGTTTAAACTGTATTATTTCAGAATCTTGCATTCAGAGTTATCATCCAAAACCACAATGATTCAAGATTCAAGTACACATGGTAAAGACAAAGTTAAAAGCTGATAACCTCTTGAGAAAGATAGACAACCATAAATCTGTTCATTAAGATGTGTCAGAGGGATACTCCAACAGCACTGAATATAAGGAAGAATTGCAATCAAGAGCCGGTAAACAAGAACATAAGAGAAGAACAATGGAGTAGTTGGGTAGAAATTAATGCAACGTTCTTCTGAAAGAATTAAACATTTAACTTTGTATGGTACAAGTTATTTTAGGCAGAAATATATAACATAGGGTCACTATTTCTATGCAGAAAATAGAGAAAGGAAGTGCAAGGCACTGTCTTTTAAAATGCCTACAATCTACAGTTAGAGAAATTTTCCTTTATCTCCTATTTTTAATATTATATTAGTAGAGTACATTTGCAATGAAATTAATGAATCAATATTGATATACAAATTATCTACTGAAGTCCATACTTCGTGCAGCTTTCCTTAGATTTTATTTAATTTCTGTTTTTGTTCCAGGATCCCATCTACAATGCCACACTATGTTTAGCTGCCATGGCTTCTTAGATCCTCTAAGGTCTGACAATTTCTCAGACTTGCCTTGTTTTTAATGACCTTCACAGCTTTGAGTATTGGTCAGGTATTTTGCAGAATGTCATTCAACTGAGAATTGTCTCATGTTTTTCTCATGATTAAGCTAGGGTTATAAAGTTTGGGGAGGAGGACAACAGAGGTAAAAATTCTCATAACAACATAACAAAGGCATATATTATAGACATAATTTATCACTACTAATGCTCAACTTTCTCACTTTGATCGGGTGGTGTTTTTCAGGTTTCTCTACTGTGAAGTTACTCTTTCCCACATTTCCATACAGCACTCTTTGGAAGGAGGTCACGAAGCACATCTCCCCCTTAAAGAGTGAGGAGTTATGTTCTATAACATAAGTCATAAAACCAGACTCTAGCCAGGAATTGACACCTTCAGTCCAACTGGAGGTGAGAATGCTTGGGATTTAGGGAAAGGATGGCCTAGGGGAAGAAATGTACAATGTGCCTGATTTGTACAAAACCAATCTTGAGTCAGATGCATACTTTTATGATAGTGAAATAATACCATACATCATTTTTGTTGGAATTTCTACACCTAAGGGTTTCCTAGATATGTCCTTGAAATATAATTTGATAAAATTAAAATCTTGTCAATTAGTAAGTATATCTATTATATGCTCTGCTAATATCATATATATTGTTTATCACTTAAGTTTCATAGCTACTTACACGTTTTTGGTTTTCTGATATAGGTTCAACTTTCTACCAACTTACTCTCATCCTTGACCTATCTATTTTTCTACTTGCAAATCAAAGAGCCTTCCTCCTACAACACCTCTATCCCTCTCTCATCCAGTCTGCTCCTGCTTATCAGTGATGTGCACAGGGAGAACAGAACCATGGCAATAGATAGGCAGGCGATATGCAAGGACCTCTGAAAATCTGAAGCTCTTAAAGGAGTAGTCATCCCTTATTCATTTTTTTCCAGGAACTAAAACAAAGCCAATGACATAACAACAAAATCAAACAATCTAGCCCAGACCATCTGATGTTTCTTATGTGTGTGTTGATGCAACTCCAATTCCGGAAGCTGGTATATACTCTGGAATTAATTTTTATGGTTGATTTCCTCTCTATGCAAAATGAATCCAGAGGAAATTGATGAAGAGGATAAGTTGTTTTTATAAACTTCTCATACATGACCCAATTAGATTAATGAATAAGATAAAAAATAAATAAATGTGATTAAAAGAAGGCAAACTCCAATTTAATGTATGTTGTTGAGAAACTGTAGCATCAAATCTATGATGAACCAACAAAGTAGGGAAAATCTCTAAACAGAATCATTATTCCGAAAAGATGGTATTAAAGATAGGATAGCTTTTATGAAAGACTACTGAAGTGTAAACTTGAGTTGGATATAACCTGAATATATATAATAGTATTATCTTTGTTGAAGCAATTAGTGACTTAAGTAGCCAAAGGCTACAGTGAAAAAGTTAAAAATCACTAACCTAAATTTTCGCTAAGAATTCATCAGTTTTTGGCATTTGTTTTCTGGAATCAAATTGATTGTGTCATGAAATAGCTGAAAAACACTGTCACTTGCATGTTTCAATCTGTCAAAGGTACATAAATAAATGCATATCCATCATCTTTGCATGTTTAATGAGTACAAAAGAGCTTTTGCAAAAATAAATGGGAAAACTATTTTATAAAAACATTGTCACTCAATTTTACATAAACAACCTGTGCCATAGCATATCTCAATGATTTCTAGAACTGAAAGCATTAGGCAAGAGGCAGCTGAATAAAAAAAATTAATGAAGAAGAGTTAGCATATGATGAAAGAATTAAATCACTCAGATACAAAGACATTCACTCAAGCACAGAGAAAATTAAGTGTGAGATAATATTTATTATAAAATGTATGTAAGATGAAGAATCAATAAGGAAAAACTGATTTTATGAAGAGATTGTAATAACATAGAAAAATACTTGTTACAATATTAAGTGAATACATCAGCCTATACATATATGATCAAAACTGAAAAACCTGCTTAGAAAGTCTAGAATAAACACATCTAATATTATAGTCACAGTAAAATATTTTGGGAGAGAGCCTGTATAATCACTTGTTTCTTTCAAATTTTCTATCTTTTTTCCTATTGTTCAGAATACACACTGACCAGTTTTATAATAAGAATAAATCAAATAAATATTTTAAATAAATATAGCAGAGCCTTAATCCAATAATATCATTGCTTTTCTCAAAATCCTCTAGTGAGATCCTGTAGTTATGTCTATACAATACATAGATGTTTTGGCATGTACATGAATTTTCACATATTTTAAATAAACGAATGCTTAATTCTGGTTTCTTTGTTCGTTAGCACTGCTTGGGACGTTGGATAGTAAGCTTTGTAGAAAGTAATTGGAAGAGGATAATTCTAGCATTTGTTCAGTGCAGATAGGAACTATTCTTTTTGGGTCATTGACCTTTTTTCTGTTCATTAAATTATGTAAGCCAAGTAGTGAATAAACAAGGTATTTATTTCACTAGTTCTAAATTTACTTTTTTATTTCTCATAAGTTTTTTGTCATCAAATGTCAATGTAGTCTTATCCTCACTTTGCAAAACATTATTCTGCTCCTCAAGGATTTGGTAAAACGTCAACATAATCTGGCTTAAATTTTCTAGACTTCAACATTCTCAGAAGAAGGTGGTCCAAGTGATGTTTGGAATAATGAATAAACAAATTACACAAAATATAGTGTTATTTCTTTCATACCTTCTTCCTAATGGATATAACAATATTCCAAAGAAATAAAATCAGTATGTTTTCTATATTTTAAATGCATTAGAATTATATGCCAGATTTCATAATGGATAAAGCATATATATAAAGAATACCAAAAAAGTAAATATTTAAAAGCTAGTATTTTATAAGTAGTTTGGCCATTTTCTTATGTTGTGCTGCTTTTTTCTTTTAATAAAATATGTGATCTTTGTAATATCACTCATAATTAAATACAACAAATAAAAAATTCTTATTTTTAAAATAAAAGTTAAAAAAGCATAAATTCAATTTTATCACTAGAATAATCTCCTCACAGGTAACTGTGAACTCTGAGAAGGACTATTTTGATTACTATACACAAAGAGTTACAGAAATCCCAAGAGTTAGCTTTCTGATTTAAAATAAGAAATTATTTTAGGCAGAATTCTAAAAGTGGTCCACCAAGATTCTGTATCCTAATATCTGGGACTGTGAATATAATGAGATATCACACCTTGATTATATTACTTTATGTAACAAAAAGATTTTGTAGATGTACTTAAAGTTACTAATCAGTTGACTTTGAGTTAATGAAAAGGCAGATTATCCCACTGAGTGTAATCTAATCACACCAGCCATTTAAAAGTCATTTTCTCTAAAATGAGCTTGAAAGTAGATTTTTTAACCATAGCCCCCGCTTAAGGCCAGCCCAGATGATATCTTATGACATCCTGAGTAGAAAACCCAGTTGAACCCACACTGATTTTTGGTCTATAGAACTATGAGATAATAACTGGGTGTTCTTGTATGCCACTAAATTTGTGGCACAGTGATTTGTTAAGCAACCATAATAATGTAATCTAGATGGGTAGCTTATTTAAACCTGCATGGAAATTTAAACAAGCACATGACTTTCTCTTTAGTCCAAGGTATAAAGAAAGGTAGGAGAAATTGACAAGCAATGTAAAGAGAAAAAGGAGAGTTAATATTTAATTTTGGTATGCAAAATAGGACTTTAAAGCAACATAATCTGCCTTAAACCACACTTTTGGAAGAGAGAGAGACTGAAGATTTTCTAAGATTCTTTAGCACCATTTAAGCCGTCAATGGCTAATTCTCACATTAAACTTTTCCTCATCACTGTCATCCTCAGGTTTAATCTGCAACCAGACTCAGAAAGAAGAAAGAGCTGATATAGAAGAAGTAAAAGAATAGCCAAGGCTTTATGATACCTGAGAATTGTGGAAGAGTACAGCAAAGGAGGGAAATAAACGTAGAGAAAGAGAAATGCCAATATTGTAATTTTTTGCCTCATTTTAGAAAATTATCTCAAGAGATTCTGTGTGTTCAGCTCTATGTTTCAGGCCATTGAATGAAAGACCTCATGGTAGTAGCTATATCATATGTAAGCCTCATAATGTGAAATGTTGAGGTACAAGGCTCTGGCATGTAGCTTCATTGACCCACTTTGTTTTTTTCTTGGCTTTGCACAGGAAAGAACTGAAGGACAAGTTAGTGGTAGGGTAGAAGAAAACAGCTTTACTGAAGTGGCAGTGTTACTGCTCTATTACTGCTCTATGACTGCTCCAGCAGAGGAGGGCTACCCCACAGGCAGAGAGTAGCCCCTTGAGCCATTGTTCATTCTCATGTTGTAGGTTAGATTCCTGGATTTTCTGAGAAACTGGTTGAAGAACACAGCTCAGAAGCTCACCAGAGGAGCTGCTGGGGCAAAGCCAGGTACCTAAGCAGCAGGCTCACGGGAAGGATCCCCTCCAGAGCGTCACAGAGTCAAGCCCAGCAGGGCATATACATCATCCACTGAATCCACTATAGGAACCTCCCGGAGGATCTCTGAAGTCAGCAGCAGTGGTTGTGTACTACACAGGAACCACAACCTGACGGGCTATGTTCACATTGCAGGCTTGTACCTTCATAATGACAATTTTCCGACAGAGGGAAATCAATATCTTGAGGCAGGGATACTTTTTCAAACATACATAAAAGCATCATGAGGACTAGCAGTGGCACTGCCTTCTGGGATCTGACTAAAATCATGAGGAAAATCAAATCAGTGTTAAATAGCTTCAAAAAATTGTTTCCTCTGTACCTAAAAGTAGTAGAATGACTACATTTTCAACCCCAGTGTTTTTAAGCAGATTTTTGACTTCACCCAGTATAGTATTTCTTAATTTTTCTATTCCTAGAAGATCAATGACTGGTGATACTGATGCAAAATAACTTTGTGATTTTCTAGATCTTTAATATTATTTGGGTTTGATCATTCCTACCTATGACCAAAGAACAAAATGTTAAAAAAGAAACAAAACTAAAACAGCCAAAATATATTTATCATAGCCATTGCTTAGTTTAGGCAGTGGTATAATAGGGCTCAAAAATTAAGGACTGATACACATAAAAATAATATAGATAAATGGATGGATATCAAGATGAGTAGAAACAAAGGTATGTGATAAAACTCATACAGTAAAAGTGTTAATGGCAAAATATAGATATTAAGGATAGGAGTGCTCACTCTCACTAGAAAATTCTTCACCTTTACTCTGTGCTTCAAAATATTTATATGAAACTGTTGGAGAAAATCAAGATAAATTTCCTTAGCTGTAATATCTGGGATACAATATGGTAGAGTGGTGAAAATGTTTTGAACATTAACGTCAGAGGAACCTGATCTTTAGAAATTTATTTGATCTGAACCTTTATTTTTTACTCTGTAAAAATAATAATGCTTAACTGCTTAACTCAAAGGATTGGTGGAGGATTAAATGAGATAATCTGCAAAAAGAGTTTAACAGTGATGGATATCTATTTATCTGTATATCCAGAGAGAGAGAAAGTATGTGTGTGTATCTGTACAAGTGTTTCTAAAACTAAATTTGGAAAAGGATACAATCCACTTATTTTAAAAAATACCCAAAGACCTAAAATAATTCATAATAATTATGTAATTAAAATTAAATCTAATGCTTCCCATGATGTGCCCAAGAAGTATACTATATTTCTACAGTAGATAGTCTTATAAGCATCAAGCTTTTATTACATTGAAAAATATTTTTATATATTTGTTACATGAAAAGTATATGATATAAAATTATATACATAGTATCATCCTAATATTTTTAAATTACTAACAAGATGGACAACTAAGTAATATTAGTTATCATTGGCTAGAACCACAATAGGTGATTTATATTCTTTTTGTTTTTCTGAATTTTCCAAATTTGCTATTATGAACTTTGTTGTCTTCATAAGAAAAAAATTATAGATAGAAGGGATAAATAATAGGTAGGTAGGTGTGTAGATAAATAGATAGAAAGATGATATAAATAACACTATCATTCCTCAGAGGGAAGATTAGGGGAGAGGAAAATATGAGAAAGAATGAGGGAAGGTCAATTTTAGATTTCGTAGTGATTCATTTGGGCTTCAGACTGAAAATATACATGATGCCATGTCATTAATTAGTAGTTTTTTATAATGGTACATGACAGGGCTACTTTGGTTTCTTGTCATAAAAGAGCAAAATTATAAGCTATCTCTGAATGTCATTAGGTATCATTGGGAAAATGGCCAATGGAGGTATCTGACTATGGTGATGATTATATTCTAAAATCATCTGGGGAGAAGAGGAGTTGCATTACTTATCATTCTTTTGTAGAAACTCTAAGCCTGAGCATTCTGAGGCCTTTGGTTAGAGCAACCAGAAGTACACCTCAGGCTATTCCTTGAGAGAAATAGGAGATTAGCTTTAGAAGAATGGTATAGTTGTTTTGTGTCTCTGTTGGACAAGCACTATGATGCAAAGATGCCAACGTGGCTCAGTGTTTTGTTATCTTATAGGAATAAAGACTGAGGACTAGTCTCTCCTAATATGAACAAAACAAAATCTCCTTTGAAATTACATATTGAAATGGTTGCCAACCCTGGAGATAATTTAAAACTCTGGTAATAATCCCAGCACTTTGGGAAGCCAAGGTGGGCAGATCACGAGGTCAGGAGATCAAGACCATCCTGGCCAACATGGTGAAACCCCGTCTCTACTAAAATACAAAAAATTAAGTCCTAGCTACTTGGGAGGCTGAGGCAGGAGAATCCCTTGAACCCGGGAGGCAGAGGTTGCAGTGAGCCGAGATCATGCCACTGCACTCCAGCATAGTGACAGAGTGAGACTCCGTCTCAAATAATAATAATAATAATAATAAATAAAACCCTGGGAAATTTTAATTGAATCAGAATATCTGAGGGTGTGATCTGGGCATCAGTATTTTGCAAATCTTCCCCTGGATATTTTAAGATACATTTAAGGTTGGAACCCACTGATTTAATGGGAGGGCTAGCCATGTTTACATAGACAGCAAGTTATATAAATCCTTCTTGCATGAATTCGTTTTAAAAGGTTCTTCTCTCACTTCTCCAAGTTTCCTTTAGTCTTACTCATATATTAACCTTCCTTCTCCCTATAGAGATACTCTTCTTCATCTTATGTCATTCCCCTCTTCTGCAGTTTTAAAAATCACATTTTCAGAGTGGTTTAATCAATCAGTCTCTAAACCTCACATTCTTTTGTTGTTGTTTTTCAAGAGTACTGGAAGTGGTAATGAAATAATTCTTTGTGTTAGACATAATCCTTCTCAAAAGAGCAGTTGCAGACCATCTACACTCCTTGTCTGATCTATGCTCCTTTTGTTATTCTATGAAGCATTTGCAATAGTTGTTATTAACACCTGTTGATGCTGTATATACGTCAGTGAATGCATGATGCCCTTTGCCTTTTTCACAATGATATATCAACTGATCAAGTGTCATTATATGCAAAATAGAGCAGCACATCTCTCTCTTGCTGACAAACAAGTCAGATGATAATGCTCAGAAACCAAGTCTCCACATTTTCAATAGAGAAAATAAAATTCTGATCTTCCCTTAGTGACTTTTTTTACTACATACTTCATTTATTTGTATGTGAATCCACACTTTCATGATATAGACAGCTCCTTTTCGTTTTTATTTTTCTTGGTGGTAAAATGTGTTTTAGTGTTTTCTTACTCATTAGGCTACAAACAAATTTTGTTTAATAAACTAATAAGAACATGGATGGAACTGGAGGACATTATGTTAAATGACATAAGCCAGGCATACAAGGACAAATATCGCATGTTCTCATTCTTAAATGGGAGCTAAAGAAAATTATTTTATGGATGTAGAGAGTAGAATAATGGTTATTAGAGGCTGAGAAGAAAAGGAAGGAGGAGGGATGATTTTATGGATGTAGAGAGTAGAACAATGGTTACCAGAGGCTGGGAAGAAAAGGGAGGAGGAGGGGATTAAGAAGGTTTGGTTAATGGGTCCAAAAATACAGTTACAACGAATAAGATCCAGCATTCAGTAGCACAATAAGACAACTATTGTTAAGAATAATTTATTATCTCTTTCAAAGTAGCTAGAAGAGAAGACTTGGAATGTTCCCAACCCAAATAAATGATAAATGCTTTGGGTGATGGATATCCCAATTACCCAGGCTTATTTGTTACACATTGTATGCTTGTATCAAAATATCAAATGTACCTCACATATATGTATCATTATCTATTCCTAAAAATTAAAAACTGGAAAAAGGAATGCCTATTTAACTAGTGTTGTTTAAAAAAAAAGTGTTTTTATCTTGCCCTGCCTATACTTAAAGAAATTACAAAAGAAATTAAAGTACTTTAAGTTCCTGGGGAAAAAGAAATATGTTCTCATAATAAAATGTAAATATGAAAAGAGAGACTAATGATTCTTTACAAAGAAAGACTAATGATTCTTTACAAAGCCAGACTTCAATGTTTATTATGTTCCTATCAGGAAGGATCCAGAAATGTGCTGGGTTTTTAACCCATCTGGAGACAAAGGGACATAGTTATTTTCTTTCTGGTACTTGGAGTCCAGTTCAGGAGACAAATCTTGGTTTTAACAATTTTCCTCACAATGGTGTAATAATATAAATACTGTACAAATCAAGCTCTACAGTATTCACTCAGAAATAGCTGAGGTCATGTGGATGTTGTGGTGAGGGTATGCTTGGTTGTTTGATGAAGAGAGCTTAGTAAGGAATAAAATTTCATGCAATTGTAATAATCAAGTAGTTGAGGGACAAGTAAGTAGCCATCCTTATGGGAAAGGCAGAACAAAATCAGACTATATTACATAGAGCTATTTGATAGAGAATTTTGAATAACAGGCTCCAAA
The DNA here is from genome assembly GCF_000001405.40 of Homo sapiens. Taxonomy (NCBI): domain Eukaryota; kingdom Metazoa; phylum Chordata; class Mammalia; order Primates; family Hominidae; genus Homo; species Homo sapiens. Next base: position 88,986,994 of record NC_000007.14, on the reverse strand, counting down.
GAAAGAAATGACTCAAGTTATCTCAAATTATCACTGTTACTTCAAACATTGATTTACTTGGAAATGAGGTACTGTTAAAACAAAACAAAACAAAACAAAACAACTTTATTTGGCAAATAGTTTAGCTTTGTTCAACTTTGTTCAGCTCTGAGCTTACTCTTCTTTTGTAGGATGGAAGAGGCCTGGGATGAGGTCCCAAGGTCCAGGACTAGGTTTGGGAATAGGAAAGAAGATACACAAAGATCTAGAAATAGGCCATGATAAGGACAAATGCAGATTTATATCTCTGGTGAATCAAAGGTGATTGCTAGAGAAGCTATATCAAGTAAAAGGTAAACTAGGCGCCACGCCAAACAAAGGACAGCATTGCACGAGGTCAGGAACAGAGAACAAAGCCCACTACAAGAGAAGGCAAAGTGAAAGAGTGCTGACATTTCTCAGTGCACTAGGATTCCTACAGTTTATTTTTACCAGATCCCAGTGTGTTAGATAGAGAAGACTGTTTTTAATTTTTAATTTTTAGACCTAAAAACTGTATTAACTTTTCTGTGTTGGCAGGAGCATGAAGCACTTTGGGAGGATATTCAGTTTTGCTTCTCTGGATAAAAAACTAAACAGCAAAAGCAGGGAAATAGACAAGGTATTTTTTGTGCTGTGGGATAGGAAATAAATTTCATAATTGTTAAAAGTAACAAATCATCAGTCATCACTAGCTCCATCTTGCTTTGAAGAGGTTGGAAGTATGAGAATAAATACAGTGAGGCATGAGAGGAAGTAAATCATGTTGGAAAACAATTATTGGGATAGAACTAGAGAAAAGCAGAAGAAATTTAGATAATTAGTCATTCTGTCTTGGCTTTGTTGCTTTGAATATTATATTAATGTAGTTCATGGCCATCAAAGCCTTTATGTTTGCCAGAATTTGCAGATCTCCTGCTAGCATTTTATAAATGGAGGATCCATCCAGAGAAATAATTAGTTGCAAATTATGTTTCCAGTTTTGTGCAAATATTTGAGGCATGTGACGAATCATTTTGAAAGACTATGAGAGTTTATTGGTTCCTATTAGAAGAAAGTATATCCTCCTGTAATGGTATTATCTACATCTGAATTTACTTCTGCTTCCATTCAGTTAATCTTGGCAAGTACATAATGACTTTACTAATGAGGAATGATCAACAGGTGACCCATGGTGGTTATAGAACACTTTTCTCCTTTCAAAAAGTCTATGGTTACTCTGCCTGTTAAAATCTTCCAGTATCTCTGATCCTTGCCCTATATACAAAGTATGTTGGTTCACATCTTTCCATTAAAGGAGGAGCTAACGTTTTACAGCTTAAATGTTTGTGGCTTTTTCCTCTTTCTATAATGGCAGTTTTACTAAGCCAAAGATAAAAGGGTAACTAGCTCAAATAGGTGAGCTGACTACGAAAGCACTCCTGCTGTGTGTAGTGAACAGAGGCCGCACAAAGGAGAGGGAATCATGAGACTCTCCCATCGCCCTTCACACCCTTTACACTCTGACCTTGCATCTCAAACAAGCGGTTCTGTCCTAATAGTCCACAGACAACTAACAACTAGAGTCCATGGAATGTGATAGGGTAGTGCCTTGAATTTTAAAATAAAAATAAATTTATGTTTTCAAAATTTGATTTTTATTCTGAGATTATATCTTTTCTATACTTTAGTTTTTAGAATGTCCTTCATAAAATGACAAAGATAATAGAATTTTTTTTTTTTTTTGGTTAAACAAACACAAATGTTTACTGGTCTCTCATGTTAATTTAAAAATCCAGTTTTCAATAATTTTTTGGAAATTCATTCATCCATTAATTCATATAGTTATCAAAAACTACTATAGACTATAGGGCTTCTAAAATAGATACAGTCAGACTTTCTAAAGAATAAGAAAATTTTACTATCATAAGACCTTAGATATTCCTCTTGAACAGTCAAATGAAAACTATGAATGAAGGTAAAGAGTTTCTCTGAGTTATTTATTTTTTACTTTTTATTTGTTTCTTTTTAAATCACCCACTTCTAGTGTCAAGGGTTTTAGTGTAAGGTAAGTCCAAGGCAGACCATTTATTGCATGCCTACATGTCTCTGGAGATTAAAAAAAATATACAATCTGTGTCCTCAAGATTACCATTGAATCAGGGATATTGACATACAATGGACAACTGCAATATGGTTTTCTAAGTGATTTAATTAGAAGTTTAAAAAGAAACAATCTAATATCTTAGGAAATATACTGCCTACCTTGTTATAGAAAGTGTCATAGAGAAAATGTATTTGGCCTGAGTCAATTTGCTCTGGAGAGCTAACTTGGAATGTAGAATTCAAGAATTTTTGCATTGATACTCCCTATTGCACTGCACTATTACTTGTGTCTGGACCACTCATAAAGTCAGAGAAAAAAGGGCTATTCAGAAGTCTGGCACAAACAAAGAGGAAAGAGTCAAAGTTAGCATCCAGTTACACAGAATGAATATACTTACATTAAATAATTATTATAAATATAATAATAATATAACATAGCCAGTGCTGCCCCAGGTCTGAGAACAGTCTGAGTTGGCAAGAGTCTAAGTAAACAACAAACAAAGAAACAAAAACATGCAAAAACACAATTACTTGATTACACCATCCTTAAAGATGGTAACATTTGCAATCTAGTTAAATTCCTCCATTAAGAAGAAATGATTGTCTTGTTAAACACTAAGCTGCTGCTAGATATATTTACTTTTATATGAAACTCCTACAAAGGTGCAGTTATACATACTTAAGCAGACAGTTTTCAAAAAATTCACAAGATCGAGCATCCACATATCTCTGTGCTAGAGTGAAGGCTGCATGGTTAACTGGAAAAGCATGGACTTGGAAGGCAGACAAATCTATATTTGCATCTTACTTGCTAGTTAGAGAAAGTTAGGTAAGTTATTTTCATTTAGGTTTCTCATTTGGAGAAATGCAGATAATAATGTCTTATTTATGGATTTGATGAAGATTATCCAAAATATTATACATGTAACCTGGAATGTTAAAACTGGAATTTTCACTGAGGTGCCAAGATTTGTCAGATATAGCATATTAAAGTAAGATACAAGAGCAAATAATAAATTTTCAAGGTAAATGATCAAGAATCAGCTTTAGACACACTTCAGGGACCCCTGAGCCAAATGGAGATCAAGATGAACGGTGCCAATCAACAGAAATATAATGTGAACCATATATATAATTTTATATTTTCTAGTATTCAGATTATAAAAATTAAAAAGTAAAACTAATTTTAATATGTTTTATTTAACTCAACAATATTAAGATACTAGCCTTTCAGCATATAATCAATAAAAAATCATAAATGTGATATGCTGCCTTGTCATACTGTCTTTTTGAAATCTGATGCATATTTTTTACTTATAGCACATCTCAATGCAAAGCACATTTCAAATAACTATAACATGTGCATAGTGGCTGCAGTATTGGACAGTGTAGTATCTACACATGGTGGTTTCAAAGAGTGATTCCCAAACTAGTAGCATCAGCATCACCATGAAATTTGACTAGAAGTGCAAATTATCAGGGTCCATCCTAGATGTACTGAATTGAAAACTCTGAAGATAGGGCCTAACATTCTGTGTTTTAAAAAGCTGTCCAGATGATTATGATGTCCACTAAAATTTAGGAACCACTAGTCTATAACAGCAAACTTCTCAAATTTTAATGGGCACACATATCACTTGAGGATCTTGTTAAATGTAGAACCTGATTCAATAGGTCTCATGCTGGACCTGAGAGTCTTCATTGCTAGCAAGCTTCCAGGAATGTAAGGCTTTTGATCCAGACCACAGTTGTACTTCTGAGGGTCTGAGCATTGGTGCTCAATCCCAATGGCATCCCTAAGGTTGAAAATCACAGGCTTAGAATATGAGAGTGGGGTGAGAGAATTTTATAAGGAGGATTTTTGGAATGAGAACTGCTAGTCCCATTTCCTCTCCCATAGCAAGACAGAACATTATTTCTTCCACCTAAAGCTTAGTAAGAAGGACTTTATGGGTATCACTGGAAGCATTTCAGCTGTCTCTCTTGGGAGTTTGGAGGACTTGGTGATCTGGAGTCAGATTCCTTCCCATGACATCTAGGTAGTAAGAGTGATGAAGGTGAGTCACTCTGGCAGAGGAGCCAAGGTGGGTTGTGCTGTTTCTGGGAATACATTCTGTCATAATGTGGGTGATATAGGTTGAATACTGTTCCCCTAAATTCATAAATTGAAGTCTTAATCCTCAGTACCTCAGAATAAGAATTGTATTTGAACATAGAGCCTTTAGAGGGGTGTAACTAAGGTAAAATAAGGTCTCATGGGTGGGCTCTAATCTAATCTGACTGGTGTCCTTATAAAAAGGAAAGATTAGGACACAGTCAATACAGACCTGGGGACAACTATGTGAGGGCACAGTAAGAAGGCAGCCATCTGCATGCCAAAGAGAGAGGCCCCATTAAAAGTAAAACTTCCAATGCCCTAATCATGGATTTCTAGTTTCAAGAAGCATTGAGAAAATAAATTTCTGTTAGTTAAGCCATTCAGTTTATGGTAGTTTGTTATGGCAGCCTGAGAAAACAAATACAGTGAAAGATATTATAACTAAGGATGCCTGTGGGTCTCTTGTGGTCCAAAGATGAACTCTACAAGAAAGAAACTCAACCTCAGACTATTAAAGTGTTGACCAAGAGAATATCATTAAAGATGCTAGGCGACTTTACAGCCAGAGCCTGCATTCAATAGAGTATAGAAGACCGCTGGCTGGTATGGATGGGCAGCCAGGGAAAACACCCAGCCTGGTATGGGAGTTGCAGCTAGAGGCCTCACAAAGGAGCCCCCAAGTCACAGATAGCAGACATGAGAGAAAGAATCAGCTTGAAAGAAGGCAGAGCAAGACAGTCAAATAGAACCCTCCAGTGATCATCCTCCCGAGAATAAAAAACAAACTGAATAACTATCCACATAAGAAAGCTCCTTTATAAGAATCAAAAATGAGGTGAGCAGAGTACCTAGTTTTAACATCATATCAAGGAAAGAGGCACTAAAGAGGGTATGAAAGACAGTGTTGCATTATCTACACCACCACTCCCTGATCCCCCAGCAGGAGCCTCTTGGCCCAGAGAGATAATCTGTATATGCTTGCGGGAGGAGAGCACAGTGATCTTGGGACTTTGCATTAGAGTTCAGTGCAACCCTATCACAAGGAAAGCAATAGAGGGCAGAATTCAGGTGGCGTCCATGGAGGAAGCATTTAGACCAGCCTAGCCAGAGGGGAATCATCCACCCTAGCAGTCAGAATCTAAATTTTGGCTAGTCCCACCACTGTGGGCTAAAGTTCTCTGGCATTCTAAATAAACCTGAAGGTAGTCTAGGCCACTAGGACTGCAGTCCTGGTGCTATGCTGGATTCAGAGCCAGTGGACTTGGAGTACATGCAACCCAGTGAGAGACCAGCTAGGCAGTCAAGGGAGTGCTGTGTTACTCTTTCCTCAACCCCAGGCAGTGTAGCTCACAGCTCGGAGAGAGATTCCTTCCTTCCACCTGAGGAGAGGAGAGGGGAGAGCAAGAAGACTTTGTCTTGGAACTTAGATAATAGCTCAACCACAGTAGAATAGAGCATCAGGTAGAGTCCTAAGCCCCCATTTTGGAGCCTAGCTCCCAGACATTTCTGGACACACCATGGGCCAGAATGGAGCACACTGCCTTGAAGGGAAGTACTCACTCCTGGCAGGATTTATCATCTTCTGACCAAGAGCCCCTGGGCCTTGAATAAACGTCAGTGGTAGGCAGGCAGTATGCGCTGTGAACCTTGGGTAAGACCCAGCACCATGCTGGCTTCAGGTGTGACACAGCACATTCCTACTGTGGTGGCTATGAGAAGAGACTCCTATTTGAGGAAAGAAGAGGGAAGAGTGACAAGGACTTTGTCTTAGAGTTTGGGTGTCAGCTCAGTTGCAGAACAGAGCGCCAAGTAGATTCCTAAGTTTCCACATTCCAGGCCTTGGATTCCAGATGGCATTTACAGACCTGCTTGGGCTTGGGAGAAGCTCACTGGTCTGAAGGGAAGGACAATAGGCTGGCTGGAATAAGCAGCTGTAAATTGTACAGCACTTGGGCCTTGAATGAACATCAGCAGTAGCAAGGCAGTGGTCACTGTGGGCTTTAGGTGAAACCCAGTGCTGAACTGTCTTCAGGTATGACCTAGCACAGTCCCAATGGTGATGGCCATGGCGATGCTTGTGTCACCCCCTCCCCAGCTTCATGGAGTTCAGCATGAAGAGAGAGACTCTGTTTGAAGGAAAGTAAGGGAAAGAAACAAAAGTCTCTGCCTGGAAATCCAGAGAATTCTTCCTGATCTTATCCAAGAAAACAAAGATGGTTAACTCTAAGAGTCTGCAAGAGTCACAACATGACTGGTCTTGGAGTGCCTCCTATTGCAGATATGGCTGCAGTGAACAAAGACTTAGATCACAACAATTAATTCCCTTTGAGTATTTGGAAAACCTTCCTAAGAAGGACAGATACAAACCAGCCAAGACTGTGAAGACTACGATGAATATCTAACTCCTCAATGCCCAAACACCAACAATCCACAAGTATCAAGACCATCCAGGAACACATGAACTCAAAAATCAAACTAAATAAGGCACCAGTGACCAAACCATGACTGACAGAGATATGTGACCTTTCAGACAGAGAATTCAAAATAGCTTTTCTGAAGAAGCTCAACAAAATTCAACATAATGCAGAGAAGGAATTCAAATGCTACCAGATAATTGTAATAAAGAGATTAAAATAACCTAAAAGAATCAAGCATGTATACACATGTAACTAACCTGCACATTGTGCACATGTACCCTAAAACTTAAAGTATAATAATAAAAAAAAAAGAATCAAGCAGAAATTCTGCAGCTGAAAAATCCAACTTATATACTAAAGAATGCATAGGAGTTTCTCAACAACACAAGTGATCAAGCAGACGAAAAAATTAGTGAGCTGAAAGACAGGGTATTTAAAATACAGAGTAAGAGGAAAAAGAAGAAAAAAAAAAGAAAAGAATGAAGCACACCTACAAAATCTATAAAATACCCTCAAAAGGGCAAATTTAAGAGTTATTGGCCTTAAAGAGGATGTAGAGAGAGAGTTTGGGATAGAAAGCTTTCATTCAAAAGGATATTAACAGAGAACTTTCCAAACATAGAGAAACATATCAATATTGAAAAGTACAAGAAGGTTATAGAACACGAAGCAGATACAACTAAAGAAGACTATCTCAAGATACTTAATAATCAAACTCTCAAAGTTCAAGAATAAAGAAAGAATTCTAAAAACAGCAAAAAAAAAAAAGAAAGAAAAAGAAAAAAGAAAGAAAGGAAAAAGCAAATAACATAAAAAGGAGCTCCAATACATCTGTCAGCAGGCTTTTCTGTGGAAGTCTTACAGGCCAGGAGAGAGTAGCATAACATGTTTAAAGTGCCAAAGGGGAAAAAAACCTTTATCTATAGTATATCCAGTGAATTGTCCTTCAAACATGAAAGAGAAATAAAGACTTTCCCAGAAAAACAAGAGCTGAGGGATTTCATCATCACAGACATGTCCTACAAGAAATGCTAAAGAGAGTACTTCAATCAGAAGGAAAAGGGACTTACTGAGCAAAAAGAAATCATCTGAAGTTACAAAACTTACTGATGATATTAAATACAAAGAAAAACATGGGTGTTTTGTACAACACTGTATTTGTGGTGTATAAATTACTCATATATTGAGTAGAAAGACTAAAAAATGAACTGATCAAAAATAATAACTACAATAACTTTTCAAGACATACACATAATATAAATAGAACCAATAAATGTTTAAAAGCAGAGGATGAAATTAAAGTGTAAAGTTTTACTAGCTTTCTCTTGCATGTTTGGTCTTTTGTTTGTTTTTGCAATCAGTGTTGTCAATAGTATAAAATAATGGAATATAAGATGTTACTTGCAAGTCTCATGGTAACTTCAAATTTAAAACCCACAATGGATACACAAACATATATATCAAGAAATTAAAAATACCACCATAGAAAATAACCTTCACAAAAAGAAAGATGGGAAGGAAGAAAGGAAGGAAAGAAGGAAAGAAGGAAGGAAGGAGGGAGGGAGGGAGGGAGGCAGGGAGGGAGAGAGGGAGGAAGGGAGAGAATGAATCACAAAACAACCAGAAAACAGACAACAAAATGGCAGTAGTAAGTCTTTACTTAATATTGAATATAAATAGACTAAGTTTTCCAATTAAATGACACAGAGTAGATGACTAAATTAAAAAAAAACAAGAGCAAATGGTCTGTTGCCTAGAAGAAACACACTTCACCTAGAAAGACACACATAGACTGAAAATAAAGGGAGGGAAAAAGATATTACATGGCAATGGAAACCAAAAAGAGAGCAGTAGTAGACATATTAGAAAAAAATAGATTTCAAGACAAAAACTGTAAGAAGAGATAAAGAAATAACAAAGGTGTCAATTCAGCAAGGGGATATAACAATTGCAAATGTATATTCACCCAAAACTGGAGCACTCAGATATACAAAGCAAATATTATTAGCGCTAAAGAGAGAGGTAAACCCCAGTACAATAATAGACGAAGACCAACACCTCACTTTCAGCATTGGATAGATTTTCCAGGCAGAAAATCAACAAAGAAAACTCAGACTGAATGTTCACTATATAAAAATAGACCTAATTTACAGAACACTTAACTCAATGGCTACAGAATCCACATTAGTCTCTTCAGCACAAGAATCATTCTCAAAGATATGCCATACTTTAAGCAACAAAAAAAGGCTTTAACATTTAAAAATATTAAGATTATATCAAGTGTCTTCTCTGGCCACAATGGAATAAAACTAGAAATCAATGACAAGAGAAACTTTGAAAATTACACAAACACATGAAAATTAAACAATATGTTCCTGAATGACAACTGAGTCAACGAAGAAATTAAAAAGAAAGTTTTAAAATGTCTTGAAACAAACGAAAATCAAAACACAACACACAAAATCTATGGAGTACAGAGAAAGCAGCATTAGGAGGAAAGTTTGCAGTAATAAGGGCAAACATTAAAAAAAAGAAAAAACTTTAAATACACAACCTAATGATGCATCTTAAAGAACTAGAAGACCAGGAGCAAACCAAATCCAAAGTTAGTAGAAGGAAAAGAAAATAAAGATCAAATCAGAAATAAATGAAATTGAAATGAAAAAAGAAAACAACAGAATAAAAAGTTAGTTTATTGAAAAGAAAAACACAATTGCCAAAACTCCAGCAAGACTAATAAAAAGGAGAGGAGACCCAAACGAAGAAAATCAGAGATAAAATAGAGACATTACTATGGATATTGCAAAAATTCAAAGGCTCATTAGAGACTACCATGAGCTACTCTATGCTAATAAATTGAGTAAGCTAGAAGAAATGGATAAATTCCTTGACATTACAACCTACTAAGAATGAACCATGAAGAAATTCAAAACTTGAGCAGACCAATAACAAGTAGTAAAATAGAGGCTATACTAAAAAGTCTACCATCAAAGAAAAACTCAGGATCTGATGGCTTCATTGTAAAATTTTATCAAACATTTAAAAAAGAACTAATACCAATGCTACCCAAACTATTCAAAAAAAAAAATAGAGGATGAAGGAATACTTCCAAACTCATTCTACAAGGCCAGTATTACCCTGATACCAAAACGAGGCAGAGACAGAGACTCATCAAAAAAAAAAGAATTTATGGGCCAATATCCCTGATCAACAGTGATGCAAAAATCCTCTACAAAATACTAGCAAACCAAATTCAATAACACATTAAAAAGGTCCTTCATCAGGACCAAGTGAGATCTATCGCAGTAATGTAAGAATGGTTCAACATACACAAATCAATCAATGTGATACATCGTATCAACAGAATGAAGTACAAAAACCATATGATCATTTCAATTGATGCTGAAAAACCATTTGATAAACTTTAACATCTCTTCATGATAAAAACCATCAAAGCCTGCATATAGAAAGAACATACCACACACAAAGAAAGCCATGTACCACAGACCCACTGGTAGTATCATAGTGAATGGGAAAAACCTGAAAGCTTTTCCTCTAATATATGAAACCTGAAACAGATGCCCATTTTTATCCCTGTTATTTAATATAGTACTGGAAGCCCTAGCTAGAGCAATCAGACAAGAGAAAGAAATCAAGAGCATCCATACTGGAAAGGAAGAATTCAAATTATGTATGCCTGTTTGCAGATGACATAATCATATATTTGGAAAAACTGAAAGAGTTCACCAAAAAAATTAAAACTAATAAATTCAGTAGAGTTGCAGGATACAAAATCAACATACAAAAACCAGTAGCATTTCCATATGCCAGCGACGAACAGTCTGAAAAAGAAATGTAAAAATAATCTCATTGACAATAAGTACAAATAAAATCAAGTATCTGGGAATTAACCAAAAAAATCTCTACATTGAAAATTTAAAACATTGATGCAAGAAATTGAAGAGGACACAAAAAATGGAAAAATATTCCATCTTTATAAATGGGAAGAAACAATATTGTTAAAAATATCAATACTAACCAAAGAAATCTACAAATTCAATTCAATCCCTATCAAAATACCAATGGACATTCTTCACAGAAATAGAAAAAATAATCCTAAAATTGTTATAGGACCATAAAAAACAGAATATCCAAAGCCATTCTGAGCAATAAGAACAAAAACGGAAGAATTACATTACCTGACTTCAAAATATACTACAGAACTAATACTTGACTTCAAATTATGCTACAGACCAATGGAACAGAATAGAGAACCCAAAAATAAACCTATACATCCACAGTGAACTCATTTTCAACAAAGGTACCAAGAACATACACTGGAGAAAGGACAGTCTCTTCAATAAATGGCACTGGGAAAACTGGATATGCATATGCAGAAGAATGAACCCCTATCTCTCACCATATACAAAAATCAAATCAAAATGGGTTAAAAACCTAAATCTGAGATCCCAAACTATTAAACTACTAAAAGGAAACATTGGGCAAAATTCTGCAGGACACTGGATTTGGTTGCATGCACTTTGGGGGTATTACTCAACTTTGTATGCAACCAAAGCAAAAATGGACAAGTGCAATCACATCAAATTAAAAAGCTTCTGCAGAGCAAAGGAAACAATCAACAAAATGAAGAGACAACCCACAGATTGGGAGAATAACTTGCAAACTACCCATCCAACAAAGGCTTAATAACCAGAATATATAAGGAGTTCAAACAACTCAATGAGAAAAAATTTCATAATCTGATTAAGAATGGGCAATGATCTGAATATAGATTTCTCAAAAGCAGACATACAAATGGCAAACAGGTATATCTCAGTGTCAAGGATCATGAGAGATATGCAAATCAAAACAACAATGAGATACTTTCTCATCCTTGTTAAAATCACTTTTTTTTTCCTAAAAGACAAGCAATATCAAATATTGGTGAGGATGTGCGAAAAAGGGAACCCTAGTACACTGTTGGTGAAAATGTAACTTAGTAACATCACTATGAAGAATGGAATGAAGGTTCCTCAAAAGACTAAAAATAGAATGGTCATATGGTCTAGCAATCCCACAGCTAGGAATATACCCAAAAGACAGGAAATCAGTATATTGAAGAGACATCTGCCCTCCCATGTTTATTGCAGCACTATTCACAACAGCCAAAGTTTACAGGCAATCTAAGTGTCCATCCACAGACTGAATGGATAAGAAAAATGTGGTACATATGCCCAATGGAGTACTATTCAGCTATAAAAAAATGCCATTCTGTCATCTGCAACGAAATGGATAGAACTGGAAGACATTATTTTAAGTGAAATAAGCCAGGCATGGAAAGACAAATTTCACATATTCTCACTTATTTTGGGGAGCTAAAAATTAAAACAATAGAACTGCTGGAGGTAGAGAGTAGAGTGATGGTTACAAGAAGCTGGGAAAAGTCAGGGGGTGGAAATGGTTAATGGGTACAGAAATATTGTTAGAAAGAAAGAAAAAGATCCAGTACTTGCTTACACAACAGGGTGACTGCCGTCAACAATAATTTATTATACATTTTGTAATAAAGTATAAGTGGAATGTTTATAACAAAGAAATGGTAAATATTTGAGGTGATGGATACCCAATTTACCCTCCTGTGATTATTACATACTGTATGCCTGTATGAAAATATCTCATGTACCCTATAAATATGTACACCTACTACATACCCATAAAAATTAAAAATAATTTTAAAATTTAAAGAATCAGCTTGAATTTTAATTTTTAAACCTTTTGTTCATAGTAAATATGATTTAACTTCAGATTTCAAACAGACTATAACATGAGATAAACTATCAATATTGATTTTTTAAAATTATTTTTCTAAGGGCCAGATAAAATTATATATATTTATCATGTACCACATGATGTTTTAAAGTATATGTACATTAGTGGAATGACTAAATCTAACTGATACATGCTTTACCTCACATAATTATCATTTATGTTGTAAGAATGCTTTACATCCACTTTCTTAACATCTTTCAATAATACAATATATTGTCAACTGTAGTCAACATGTTGTCCAACTTGAGTATTTTAAATATCTCTAAAGATTTTATATTTATATCTGATATATTTTCATATATATGTATTTACATATTTGTGTTTACTATTTTTCATATTTTCATGAGGCCCAGAGAGTTTCACTAAGAAACTGTCTTGAACACTTTTCTTCACTATCTGCAGTTGGCAGTCAGGGAGAAGGTGACTTCTGCCACTTCGGGAATCCCTATATATCCCCTATAGGAGGAATGACTATGCAACCTTTATCATATGACTTTGGATTATTGTCAGAAATTAGACACTGAAACTTCAGAATTGTACTAAGTGTGAGACTTCAAATAAACTCAGGGCTTTGTACTTTCTATGGTAGTCCAGAAAAGTAATGAACATCTCACTATTTTCTCATAAGAACAGGAAAAAGAGCCATAAGGAATTTAAAAAAAGTTGTGTCAATGGGATGATGGCATCTTACGAATTCTTGTTCAACAAGATCATTTAATACATAAACAGCTATACACATTATATTCCTGTTTCTTTTCCTCTAATAAGCAAAATGCTAGACACAAAAAGAAACCACTGACTATTAAGTTTAACACTGAGCTTTATCATGGTCTCATAAATACTCAATAAAATACACCTTTTCTCCCAAGATCAAAAGCATAGGTCACTGTAGCATAAAAGTGTGTACAAAAATAATTCACTTTTCAATCTCTTGCTAATGGCATATCTATGTCTTGTAACTTTGAGTCAACAGCCTTAAAAAAAAAAAGATTATACTTCGAAGTGTTCTAGAAGAGAACATTGCTAGCTAGAAAATTAAAAAGCACAGTTAAGTATGTTTCCAGGTTTTATTGATACATGTTCATCTTTGATCAAAACACATCACACTTCAGATTTAAAAAGAGAGAGAGAGATTTACAGAAAACATACCAGGATTGGCCTGTTTTCCCTGAACATTCTTCTTGTGGCTTTTGGTACCTATTATTCTATATCTTACAAGCTCTGAAGTAAGCAGCTTTGTGTTTTCTATAATAAACTAAACTTATTCACAGGGATACAAGTTTTCTCCCCAGAGACAATAGCTTTATATCACTTAAGGTACATAATGGATTACAATATGTAAAAAAAAAGATTGCACATTATTTTAATGAATATGTAAAACTTGGCATCATGCAAAAAAAAAAAACCCTTGAGTGGGAGTAGAGAGTGGCAGAATTTTCTTAAAGAGAAGAACATTAAAATACCAATAGTTACTTCAATATTCAGTCAATAACTTGCATTAGCAATCTCTTACTGCAGGATATCTATGTGTCATTCACTGTCTTTGGAAAATATGGATATTTACCTCTTAGAAATCATGAAATAAGAATAGTATCAGAGGGCAGAATCCCATACTAAGGCCTTGTTAACAAAGAAGTTTGTAGAAATTCAATCTGCAAGTCTGTCACTCATAACGCTATATGTACTCCTGTATTTCTCCTTTCCTTCTTTTTCCAAACACATCTTCTATTTTTGACTTAAAGGCAGGTATACTATTAGTGAGAAGAATTATGGAACCCTTGGAGTTCTGGTTTTTTTTTTGTCAGACTCAGTAATCTTCAAATAGTGTAGAGATTATCACTCCTAACTATATTTTTTTAAAGGACAGTTTCAAAGATGATAAAAATTTCAATCTGAAAGTACCTCTTATATCAACACTTTCTTCCATTTTTCAATAGAATGTTGTATTTTGTGATTAAATGTGTGTTTATGAAAAACTGATAATTAACAGGGGACTTTTTTTCTATCACAATCCTACACTAATCTTCATTAAGTACATAGGCTATGCTAGGTACACCTAGGACACATTATGTTGGAACCTGGCAGGGAAAAAGACTGAATAAAATACAGCTTCCTAACCTTGGAAAGCTGGCCATTTAGGAAGACAGTCTGACATATAAATACATGATTTATAATAAAATAAATTGGGTATTACTACCAAGAGATAAATAACAGGCTACTTTAAGACAGGTTAGAACAATAAAAACTGCCTGGAGAAACTGGAAACAGTTTAAAAGAGTAGACATTTTAAGCTGGTGAGAAATGAGACAGTATAAGTAGATTGGAGCACACTTGTGGTGTACAAGTCATTGAAAGATGGAGAAAAAATACACAATTCAAATTCCATTTTTAGTGAAGCTTTGAGCTCAATGTCATCTCTTAGCAAAGTGCTGGACATGTAATGGCTTCTCAATAAAGACTTTACAACTAAATACTTCTGGAGGAACTGGGATAAGGAAATACTGTTTCCTTATCTTGTTTTTATTTCTCAATATATCACTATGTCAAATTTGATCTCCTTTAGAAAAACCTGCAGCTCTAGATCTACAACTCTGGTAAACTGGAAAAGCGGTAAAAGATAAACCAAATGAAACAGTAAATGGAGTCCTACTTAATCTCTTCCACTCCAGGTCCCTAGAGTATCTATTTCCCCCAAAGAACACTGAGAATGTCCTCACAGAGTGAATGCACATTCTGCTAGAAGGAAATTCTGGTGCAATGCATTTTCTGTTTAAATAATAATAAAAGGGTAATATTGTAAAAATTATGTATCTTCATGTGTGAGTAGAATATAGGTGGATAAGGCAGGCACAAATCAGAAAAATTATGCCACTAAAAAGAATACAATTTTTATCTTAGGTTACAATTATGTGTCCCATTAGCTATGAAATTTATCTCCATATCTTAACATTTTGCAGAACTGTAATTTCAGAAGTTAAAGGCTACTGCTTTATTCTGCAGATAATTATTTTGGAGAATTGGAAGGGTGAATGGAACAAGTATGACTTCCACAGTACTCCTTACAAACTGTAGAAGAGTGACAGAATATATATACAAACTGTAGAAGAATGACAGAATATATCTCAGAGTTTTGTACATGATAATATATATTTATACATTTCTTTATTGTCAAAAATTGTCTTATTGAGTTTTGTCTTCTTATTGCCTGGCAAAAGAAACATTTGATATGGCTGAATGAAGGAATAAATGTCCATATGCTGACTTATATAGTATGCAGCAATGACCTTCAAACCAATGCTATATGAAACTTCAGTCATTGACCAAACGGTCAAAATATCAAGCTAAGTGAACACTCTAGTGCAGCATTTGGCAAATCTTTGCTGAAAGAGCTATAGAGTAAATAGGTTAGGCTTTTAAGACCATCTGCTAGCTGTTGCAACTACTCAATTCTGCCATTGCTTGAAGTGTGAAAGCAGCCTAGCAATAAGTAAAGAAATAATAGGCAAGGCTGTTTTTTTTTTATTTTTTTATTCTTTATTTTATTTATTTTTTTTTGTTCTTTTTTTAAATTTTATTATTATTATACTTTAAGTTTTAGGGTACATGTGCACAACATGCAGGTTTGTTACATATGTATACATGTGCCATGTTGGTGTGCTGCACCCATTAACTTGTCATTTAGCGTTAGGTATACCTCCTAATGCTATCCCTCCCCCCTCCCCCCACCCCACAACAGTCCCCGGTGTATGATGTTCCCCTTCCTGTGTCCTTGTGTTCTCATTGTTCAATTCCCACCTAAGAGTGAGAACATGCGGTGTTTGGTTTTTTTGTCCTTGCGATAGTTTGCTGAGAATGATGGTTTCCAGCTGTGTTCCAATAGAACTTTATTTACAGAAACAGGCAGTGGGCAAGATTTCTTCCATGGGCTACAGTTTCCCAACCCTGTATATTCTGTACAATTTTCTTAACGACATAGGTAAGAAATAAAATATTTAATTTATATCAGTAAAATCTGCTTTGATTTTGCAAAAGAAAAATTAATATTAGACCTGCAAAATTACAAAAGGAAATCTTAGAATATCTGGTTTACTTATTATAAAATGTTTGGAATATAAAGTTTTTATTTTTCAGTGTCATTTGATCCAGAGGCATAGACAAAATTATAATACAACAGTGTAGAGGGTTGTGGGGGTGGGGGGGGGGCATCAGAATAAATAGCTAATGCATGTGGGGCTTTAATACCTAGGTGATGGGTTGATGGGTGCAGCAAACCACCATGGCACATGTTTACCTATGTAACAAGCCTGCACATCCTGCACATGTATCCCAGAACTTAAAACAAAATAAAATAAAATACAATTATTATACAATAATGTCACTTAAATGTCTACTGTCATTGAAAACAGCATAGACTTTGCACAATTACTGCTTTGGGGAAGAAAGGTGGATGGAGAAGTAAAAAAGGAAGGAAAGGAAGGAAAGGAAGGAGAAAAGGGAAATGAAGGGAAGGAGAAAAGGGAAATGAAGGGAAAGAGAAAAGGAGCAAAGGAGGAAGAGACCAGTTGAGTGTTACCTCTTCAGGTTTTATAACTGTATTCAGACGTATTTGCCAGTCAAGATTCTCATTTTTGGAAATAATTCTATTATATGTTATATTACAATACTAAGCGAAACAATTTTTAAACCCCTAATATTTATGCAATTTATATAGAAGGTTTATATCTTGTTTCAAAAATTGGAAGAAAATGACTACCAGTGTGATATAAAATACAGCTTTAGAAAAAAATCTCCCCTCTCTAAGCAATCATGTATATAGCAAATAATTTTAGCTAATAAATGCAAAGTGTTTCAGGTGCAAAGTACCAGCTGTGAAAATTTATTGGTTGTTTCAGCTACAAAAGCATAATTAGTTTGACTCACAGGCACCACAACTTAATGTTAGAAGTAAACAGTTTGTCCTCCTTTCTTCCTCTCTCTTGTTTTTCTAGAATTGAGTGGGGATGGAAGAAAAAAATGTCATCACTCTAATGACAGGAATTGTTGCCTAATGGCAAGCATGCTGTCAAATTAGCCTAAGTGTCCATTTAAAGGCAAACTTTTATATGGTTTGCTAAACTATTAAGGCTATTAGTTGTAACATGGAATTGATGTATTTTACCCATTGCATTAACCTCATCTCACATACTCATCAATTTCTTATACAAGGCAAAGTAAATGCACCTTGATGTTTTATAAAACGCAATTGAACATCAAGTCATTCACTTTTAAAAGCTATGCACTGCTATAACAACAAGAGAGTGACTAAGACTCCCAGAATCTTTATTATTATTAACTAAATGAAGCCTCAGTAATAGAGTCTTCATGGAAAATTAATTTAATATCACTATATACTAAATGTAATTAGTAGCAAATATGCTTTATTTTGATGAGGTTATAGGTTATTTGATCTGTAAAACCAAGAGATAGACACTTTCTAACCTGGATAAAGGAAATTAGAGAAACATTAGCTGCTTTAATAAAAACCCAATTTTCAGTTGACAGAGAGAAAGTAATTACTTGATCTGATAAAGAGTTAATATAAACAGTGTATGTAAGACTGTAATTGTAAACATATAAAATATGCATTTAACAATAAACATATATGTAGAAAAGATACGTGTCCAAGAAAAATTATATATATTCAAAAATAAATCTAACCTATGTAATATGGATTAAGGATGTACACAGTATATTGTGAACTACCTGAGGTAGCACAGTACTTCTTTTTATAACTCTTGATAAGGAGGCAGTTTAGTTCTCATCAGTCCAGTCTTAATGCTGTAATTAAATATTTTGGTGTGACATTTCCTATCTGAAAAGTCTCCTTACAATTTGAAAGCAATGTATGCACCTTATTCTTCCATAACTGCATTGATTTATTCATTCATTCATTGTCTAGCTCATTTTATTCATTCTAGACAATCAGTTTCAGGCAGTGTTCAAGGCACTCACCATATCAGTCTCAACACAATCTTGTAGGCAAAGAAAGACATGAAAACACAACAAATTAAAATGTTTAAGCCTAGGAACGTGGATGGATCCATCAGGATAGTAAGAGAGCAAAGTGTTGAGAATGCTATTTGGAAAGCATTCATAGGAAGGAAAAAAGAATACAAATTAGTGACAAGAGCAAAAATGATACAATCAGAAAAAGATGATGAATCAGGGTTTTCCGTATCAGGGAAGGTACAACATGTGCACTAATTTCTGCCCATCCGAAACCTCCTTGCCACTTTGACAAAAGTTATCGCTTAAAAAAGGACAATAGTATTAGTAAATTTCAACATAAGGTCCCTAACAACTTAATATTGCCTTATTAAATATCATTAACATGACAAATTTCTAACACCATTTTAGTTCTTGAAAAATTCGGTTAACTTTGACTTAATTTTTGTTATTAAATTTTAAGAATATCTAGAAGACTCTCTTGATGAATTTTTTTTGAAAGGTTAGAATATAGTCACACTCTTATTTTTTAAATGTTTCCTTTTATAAAAAAGTGTCCTGTATTCCCAGGCAGTGTCCAGTTAAATTACCAACCAAGCCAAAGACCCTGCTCAGCTTCCAAGATCAGATGAAGGTGTATTTGGGGTGGTATGGCTGTAGACTAAATATTTCCATTAACTCTAATGAAGTTACTGGTAGCAAAGGCCTACAGTACTCTTTCACACCCTTCTCTGGCTCCAGGAACAATTTTGGATGAGGATGGTTGAAAAACAGTAAATTTTCTCGTGTTAAAGTTCCTAATTATAATCTCATCTTTACACATGATTTTTTTTTTTTTTTTTTTTTGCTTTTTCAATTCTAGTCATCATTCATGACTTCCTACCCTGAAAGATAAGAATGTATTCGTTTGTTATTCATCAGCTGCTCTAGACTGCCTCCCCACGGTGTTTTACTATTGTTCTATTAGTAATACTATTGGTTACCTTTGCAATTTAAATCATTTTCTTAAATTTCTGCTTATTTCATCAACCTGAGACATTAACATGAAGTGGTCTGTCCCTTGTCCATTGGTGTGGTTTGGCTCTGTGTCCCCACCCAAATCTCACATCGAAGTGTAATTCCCAGTGTTGGGGGAAGGACCTGGTAGGACATGATTGGATCATGGGGGTGGATTTCCCCCTCGTAATAGTGAGTGAGTTCTCACCAGATCTGGTTGTTTACAAGTGTGTAGCACTTCCCCCTTTGCTCTCTCACTCCTGCCAGCATGTGAAGATGTTCTTGCTTCCCTTCACCTTTCTGCAATGAAAGTCTCCTGAGGTCCCCCAGCCATGACAGCTGTACAGCCTGTGGAACTGTGAGTCAATTAAACCTCTTTTCTCCATAAATTACCCAGTCTTAGATAGTTCTTCATAGCAATGTGCATCATCTCCTTCATCTTTCCTTTTATACTATCAAAAACTGAAAGGTTTCTATTTAACTCTGTAAGGCATATGTAAGTAAAATTAAAGGGACTCCAAAGTGACCATTTAAAAGCCTGGTGTTTCCCAGAGTTTGGGGGTCACAGTGGACTGGTGTATTACACTTGAAAAAAAAAAAAAAGTCCAGAATTCTAGATCCTGTAAGTGTCAGGCTCCTGTGAAGTGCAACAAGCTGCAATGGAATCAGTACACCTATGGTGGAGCAAAGGGAGGCCCAGACTTACTTGCAACATTACACGTGTCTTGAAATATTAATAATTGAACTGAGAATGTTTTTTTAATCTCTCTCTGTATATGTATTGTGTGTGTTTGTGTGTGTGTGTATGTATGTGTGTGTCTAGATGCCTTTTATTATTTGTAAATGACTCTAAAAGTCATGGAGACTACCCTCAACTTCACATACAGACAGGAAAAGACTAGCACCTTAGTATGAGTTTAGAAGGACAGCAAGGAAAATAAATAACTCATCTTCTCTTATTTATTCTACAAATAGGTTACAACAATAACACATATGTTAGAGTGCAATTATCTAATACATAAAGGCTGAGCCGTCACTCTTCTATATCAATAAATATTAACTGGAGGAAGAGCACTGAGAATTTTCAGGAGTTCTTTTAAAACTACAGGTCATACTTGGCATCAGTTCAAACGTACCAAACCAATTTCAAGAAGTGAGGCCCAGGCTACTCTTGTGGTTCAGATGTACAGTTATGATTAGTTGCAATAGTTATAGATTAATGTTACAATCATTTTGTCCATTATTACATCTGCTCTTTCCACACCTCACCAAAAAGCTGGTTTTATTGCACATACATTAATATTACTTAAGAAGTATATGCAACAAAATTATACATAACACTATATTGTTTAGGAAAGTATTATAATATCTGTACACACATATAATTCTAGTTATTATATGATAATATTAATAAAGAATTCCTTCAAAACATGCTGGAAAGATGTGGGCTACTGCATGGTTTAGTCAATGCAAAAAAATTATGAAAGCTTCTATCTTTTCTCTGGAACTGACTTATGAATTAGATATATAATAGAATTTGACAATTCCCACTTAAGATAACACATATATTAAAAGAATTTTACTTAATTGAGGTGATTTAAACTTAGGACTTTTTGCTTGCAAAAATTTTTCCTCTTAATCACCCGTATTTACTACTTCATAGTTGTTTGTCATTCAGGATTATGCACTTTTTAAAGACATTTGAGAAAGGTGAAATGATTCTGATTGATTGTCATCTTAATCCTTGTTTGCTTAGTGTTGCTTAAAGATAAATGATATGCTATTAGATAGCAAAATAATCTTTACAAGTAGCAAATACTCTCAATTCACTGCAATAAGAAAAAGATACGGCAGTGATTCACAATGGCTTGTAAGGACAAACTTAGGGAATTGTAGAGTGCTCTTAGAATTCAATTTACATGATTGGCATTTCTTTCAAATGCTCCACAATTCATACAGACAGAAACAGATGGGCCATCTGTTTTCAAGTTTCTCATCTCTTTATAGCTCAGACGTATTTGTGATAGCCAAACGTAAATGGAAAAATGGCAATCCTCACATAAGGCTCCTCATCACTGATTGTCACCCTTTCAAGGTTAAACTTCTTATGGATGAAGATTCAACTTTCTAACAGCAAAAAAATAGCTCCTAGCCCTATATCCACTCTACGCATGGACTTACAAAGATTCATGCAGGGCTATTTTAAAATAACAGGGTTGAGAAATTCCATTGATTCCAGCTTCCAAAACAAAGAGAGAAACAAAAGAGAGAATCTCTTTAACCTATTCTCTCTGCAAGTCCTCTGAACACATGATTTCACTCCATTATAATGCAGGAAAAAAGTTATTTTGTAAGGAAAGAAGGTACTAAGTCAAGGTGAAATTTGTGAAGACACCATGATGGGGTAGAGGTAGAATGAAGATATTGTTTTACCAAGAAAATTATCTTTATTAGTTTTATTGTTTCTACCCTTTAATATTTAAGAGTTCAAATGTTTAACTTATTTCCTGGGTTATTAAAACAATATTCTTTTCAAGTATTGGCACCTTATATGTTATAAACCCTCATACCCTATAAAATAAATTTTCTTCAACAGTAAAATTTTGCCCAAAATTTCTCTCTGAACTACAATATATACTTAGGGAAATCATAGGGGTAGATTCTTTAAGAAGCTTTATATAATTGTTTCTGCTGTATGCAAGACTTCCTTGCAGCTGTGGAGCTCTGCTCTCTTCAAATTTCAGGTGAGCTTCTAAGAGCCTGTTTTGCTCCCACAGTAGTACAGAAAGCAAAGGTGAGTGCTCACAACACTGGTTATATGAATACCAGACATGTTGTTTCACATGAGTTTTCTTCTTTTTGTTTTGTTGTAAAATATATGCAACATCAACTTCACCATTTAACTGTTGTTAAGTTTACAATTCAGTGGCACTGAGTACATTCACATTGTTGCACAATCATCACCACTGTTTATCTCCAGAAATTTTCAGCATTCCCAATTGAAACTCTGTATGCATAAAACAATAACTCCTCACCATCTTTCCTCCTGACTCCTGGTAAACCACTATCCTACTTTCTGTCTTTATGAATTTGACTATTCTATGTATCTCACTTAATGGAATTATATAATATTTCCCATTTTGTGTGCAGCTTACTTCACTTAGCGTAATGTTTTCCAGGTTCACCCATGTTGTATTATAGATCAGAATTTCTTTGTAAGATCAAAAATATTTCATTGTATGTATATACCACATTTTGTTTATTCACTCATCTGTTGATAGACATTTGGGTAATTTCCACCTTTTTGGCAATTGTGAATAACACAGCTATGAAAATTGGTGTAAAAATATCTGTTCAAGTTCTTGCTTTCAGTTATTTTGGGTGTATATCTAGTAAAATGGAATTGTTGGATCATATGACAATTCTATGTTTTCTGAGGAACTGCCACACTTTTTATCCACAGCAGCTGCACCATTTTGCATTCCCAGCAACAGTGCACAAGTGTTTCAATTTCTCCACATCCTTGCCAACACTTGTTATATTCAGTTTTCTTGGGGATTGTTCAGCTTTCTTTTAGTAATAGCCATATTAATAGTTGTAAGGTGGTTTTAATTTGCATTTCCCT
The DNA here is from genome assembly GCF_000001405.40 of Homo sapiens. Taxonomy (NCBI): domain Eukaryota; kingdom Metazoa; phylum Chordata; class Mammalia; order Primates; family Hominidae; genus Homo; species Homo sapiens. The sequence goes on along the minus strand of NC_000007.14, from coordinate 88,963,941 downwards.
ACTGATTAATGATGTTCATCATCTTTTCATGCATTTGTTGGGCATTTATCTTTTTTAGAGAAAAGTGTATTCAATCCTTTGTCATTTTATTATTTTACTTTTTTGTTTATTTGTTTGTTCATAATTTGTAGAAGTCCTTGATATATTGTTACTCTCTTGTCAGGTATATGATTTACAGATACCTTTTCTCATTCCATAGGTTGTCCTTTAAATCTCCTAACAGGATTCTATGATGTAAAAAAAAGTTTTTAATTTTGATGATATACAACTTATCATTCTTTTTCTGTTGTTGCCTTTATCTTTGGAGTCATAGCAAAGAAATAACAGGCAAATGCAATTATAAACATTTTGCCCCATGTTTTCTTCTGCAGCTTTCATAGTTTTTACTCATATGTTTAGATTTTTCATTCGAGTCAATTTGTGTATATGATGTGTGTATAAGGTATAAGGTAAAGGATTCAACTTCATTTTTTTGCATTTGGATAGCCATGTTTCCTAGCACCATCTGTTGAAAGTACTGCCTTTTCCTCACTGAAAAGTTTGGGCACTTTTATTGAAAATCATTTGACCATATACATGAGGACTTACTTTCGTGCTCTCTGTTCTATTCCATGGGTGTATATATCTGGCTTTGTGCCAGCACCACACTGTTTGGATTACTGTACCTTTGTACATGTTTTTAAATCAGGAAGTATGAGTCTCTCAACTTTGTTTTTTTATAGATTGTTTTGGCTATTCAGTGCCCCTTTCAGAGTCCGTATGAATTTTAGCATTATTTTTGTACTCCTGAAAATACATCATTGGGATTTTGGTAGGAATTATACTGAAAGTGTAGATTACTTTGGGTAGTGCTAACATCTTCATAATATTAAGTCTTCTAGTCCATGAAAAGGGAATGTCCTTCCCTCCTCCTTGCTTTTGAGACCGTCTTAGATGGCACCTTTCTAATTAGGCTGCATTCATGTAACTCAGAAGCTAAACATGTTAATTGTCTAGGGTATTTTTCTGTGTGATGTTATGAAAATACATTATAAAAATAAAAGTGGCTGTACCTACTGAGTGCATACCTTCATAATAGCACTGTACACATTTCTGTTACAGAAAAAAACTACTAAGCTAATGTTTGAATGAAATGCTTTCTCTCTTTTTAAGACTATAAATTTATAATTATGTAATTATATAAATACGTATTCATATATATATATATATATATATATATATATATATATATATGTGAGTTTAACAACATTTATAACTTTTCTGTGAAAAGCAGACAATCCATCCCACAAGGTCACTTCGTTAACTGCACACATCCATAAATGAAATAAATTTCCAAAAACATGGTTTATATATTCTTAGACCCCAATTCTTAGGTATACTTCCTAAGCAAGACATTCATGGAGAATGTTCCTTCTAATTATCGATTCGCAGCCACCTCGTTAGGAACTCTTCTTTCTGTGCTTTTTCAAAAATGACCTAAGATGGAGCAATACTGAGTTCAATGAGGAGCAAGTTTAAATCAGAACACTGCCCATAACACTACTCTTTTTCAGAAACCTGAATAGCAATGCATGACTGCTACACTGATACAACTACATATCGTCATCTGGCTGGATGCTTGCTACATAAACTGTAGAATTAGATGGTATCCTGAGTGGAGAGAAGAGCAAATGATGCTGTGTGAAGAGAAACCATAATTTACCAGTATAAACAGCGTTCTATACAAATTCTACAAAACAACTTCTGGTCCTTAAGGAAGTGAGTGCAGAGATAAACCATTTTAGGTCTATAAAAACCTCAGGACAATGAATTGTCATTACCAGTTTCTTCAATGCAATTAAAGATATTGCAGTCGAATACCATTTTGACAATAAAACTAGGCAGCTTTACAAGGAAAAGCTTTTCCAGGCAGCAGAGTATATTTTAATCAAATTCTACACTAAAACCTTGTGTATTACAGAGAAAATTCTAATGTAAAATGTAAAAGGAGCCTCTATTTAAAAACTTTACTGTTTGGTATTCGTTAAGTGACTATGAAGTCCCCTTTTCATAGGAGATATGTCTCAGACCAGATTGATGAAATGTGGCAGGGCAGCGTCAAGGCTTTGGGACCATTAATTTAAAATGCCTTTCCCTTTCATCCTCTGGTGTAAATTGCTGAGCAATCATCATTTTTCTTTACTTTTTGCTTTTGGTGATATAGTTTGTGTCATGCCAGGATCATAGTTTCCTGACATTAATCATGAACCACTGAGTTCTTTTTTACCTCATGCCCATGAGGGCAAATTCTGTGAAGAGATATGGAAAAACTCAATCTCATGAGCTCTTCTTGAGGAATTTCATTTCAGCTAGGTACTTTACAAACCAGTGCTTGAATTTTTTCTTTTCATTTTAAAAGCTGTAAAGAGGTCACTGCTGCATTTAGGGATATAAAAACTTCAAAAATAGTCATGCAGAAAAAATACTAAAGATGTTTCCTTTGTGGATACCTCAAACTGAAGTGCAGGACAGCAATCAATCTTCATTTAGCATCTAAACATTCATAAATTACACAACCTATGAGGCTTAATTGGAGAACACCAGCAAACAACCACGTTAAAGATTAGTGAATGATGGTTCCACCCAAACAAAGAAAACGTATGCTGTCTTTAAAATAATAAGACACTAAAAATTCTAACAGTAATTTAAAAATACATGGATAAATTATTTATACAACACACGACATAATTATTGTTTATTTAGAAAACTTTCCTTTAAACTGCAATAGATGTGTTCAATTTCAAGTTAAAAGCTTTTTGGAATAGAATTGGGTGTTTTTTCATTATTTTATTGTGCCTAAGAGCACATGTGATAGAATCAGAGGTTTTGATTCACATTCAGTTCTTTAATGTCTAAAATATATTTCATACACTAAAACTCTCTGAAGTTCCTACCTTGCAGAGGTTTTATCCTCAATAAATCTTAATTATCCAAGGTTATTTGTCAATGACAAAATCATTGGTGGATTCAGAAGGAAAAAGTATCAAACTTTTTGTTTGTTTCTGTTTAAACAGAAAACTGACAGGCAATTGAATATTTTCTTTTTTTCAATAAATATTTGTTCCAAAAACAGCTACACCATGTCTGATGGAGATGAAAAGTCTACTCAGGCACACTAATTATATCATGTAAGTAATTTTTCAACAAAACATATTTTCACAAAGCTCGTGGAATTCAGTACTATATTTCAGAAAGGAGAAAAGTATCTTGACATCATGGAAATAAATAGAAGAAACTATTAACTTAAAAAAATCACAAAGATAATATGTTAAATAAATAGATCTCTAAGAGAGCTAACAATACTCTATGTATATTTTTAACTTAGCCCTCACCTAAGAGTCACCTAAGAGAGTACTTTGCCCCATTTCTTATCCCTCCTTATTTCTACGTTTCTCCTTTGTACCTTCTCTTATTCCTCCCTCTCATGCCCAAATATCTCAAATAACTTTTTCTCCTAGAAGCCTTCTGTGAGCACCATCCCCCACTCCCGCACATACACATTTTCCTTTCCAGGCCAGATAACACCACTGGTGCTGCCACATTATTTTTGGTATAGCTCAAGTCAAACTACATCATAGTTCTCTGTTTACCACTTCTCCATCTGCCAACCAGTAGACTGAGCATTTTGACGGTAGGGGTGGGGTCTTATTTCTGGTGCTGTCTTTCAGAACAGATCATAGCCCATAATCTTCACCTAGTTATTTTTAAAATACATTTTGAAATATATTTTGAAAATAATTGAATAAACAACTGTAACAATAAATGTATAACAAAATTTATGTAATAATTTGTACAACAGACACATTTGATTTAAAAAAGGGGAAACAGTCTTTGTTTAAAAAAACATTTTAAAGACTTTTTTGTCTTCTTCAGGGCAAATTATTAAAGGTCAAAATTTTCATTGCAGAGGACAGTGCAAGCTAATTTTTGTGTACAAGGAGTTATCAAGAATATTTGTGCCAAAACTTAGAAAAAAAGGAAAATTTCACAGAGGCTCAGAAGATAACAATAAACTGGGGCCATAGAAGGAGCATGACCTGTAAAAGGTTTCCCCTGGCATGGGATGGATGAATTTTTGCGTGGTAGCTAATATGACATTTTAAGCTGCTGCCCACAGTGTACAGTGCTATAAACCACTTCCATCCCTCCAAATAATTAATACTTTGACTATACACAGCTATCATGAATTTGTGTCAATAGAGGTGGGAGGAGATGAGAGCAGCTATCAGTATGCAAACACGTTATAAATCTATGAGGGAAGTACTTGCAGATGAGATTCAGTGTGGGGATGGACAAATTGGCAGAAACCAGGTATCAGAGGAAGAGCTTAGAAGGAGAAATGACAGCTCTCAGATATTCTCAAGAAAGTAGAATAAAGGTTCCAGCCATATTATTTGAATATTAAAATAAAAATAAGAGTTTCCAGGAGGCTAAAAGATTTCAGGACAGTAAGACTGCAGTTATGTGTATTAAAAACACATAAACATTTCTAGTCTAAGAAAGTTTTAATGTCTTGGAGCTAGTTAATAACCAGCAAAACATTCCCTCAAACAATCTGGACCCACATATTTATTTAACTAATACTTAAGCTTATGTGTAAAATGTAGTAACAAGGTAACATAACACACTTGAATAGTCCTCTTCACAAAGTTCACCTGTAAGGGTAAACTTGCCATAAACACTGACAATGACAATACATAAGAAATGTGTACTACATAACAAGAAAGAAACATGAATCTTACCAAATTGAAGGGGAACACTTCAGAGAGGATGATCTTGGTATACAAATGAAAAGTCAAAAGTCAGACAACCTCTAGAGTAAGAGCTCACAAAGCAGTCAAAAAAGCTGAATGCATGAGGCAGGTGAATGATACTCACTACCAAAGATAATGAACTCTTTTCAATCACAGGTGAAACCTTGAAAGAATACTACATGTCTATACAGGAACAAAGATTCCACTTTCGGAGATTTAGTTGGAATTATAATTCCTTAGTGGGAAGACAATATGAAAGAAATAATATGTCCACCTCTCCAGTTTTTAGATTAATGCAGATTGAAATGAGTGCCGTAGAATTCCTCCCAACACTATCATTAGTCTGTATTTGTCTTGAGCAAGTGAAGGGTAATGAATAATGTAAGCATCCTACATCATGAGAATCAGTATCTAAAATGCAACAAGTTACTCTTCGATGTGACATTAAATCTGAAAGTCTCCAGAGGTAGGTTAAAGGCCAAACTGTGTGACACCTCCTTCGATTCAAAGTCAGAAATATTATAATCACACATATGGTGAGCCACAAGGTGGCCAGCCATTTTAAGAGTACTATACATAGTTCATAGTGACTAGAGACAACAGCATAAGGCAAATGCCAAGACAACAGGCATATTTCATGGTGATATCTATGGATGGCTCTGTGTGACTCAGCCCTAGCTATTATTACTTGCCACAAGTCAAAATTAGTTACATAAATAAAATAAGATACATGAAAAGATTTTGGTCTTTTAGTAAAACATGTAACATGAGCATTGGAATTATTGTTGAATTGTGTATTTGTCATATGCACGAGGAGCCTCCATTTTTATGAATAATTTTCAAGGTAATGAACTTTTTGGACATATTTTATGTGTTTATATCCATTGAATTTATAAAATAAAATTTTCCTATGAGAGAAATAAAAACATACAAAGAAATTACTGTCATTATCATTTGAATTTCTAAGGAAAATTCTAGATCCAAGTGGGCTCCAATTGTTTAGCTCATGTTTTCCATGATAAGTATTCACAGAAATGAATACTTTGTATTGAACACTTACTTTTGCTGCTCAGAAATCTAGAAAGCAATCACCTGATGTCAGATTCACTGCTGTGAGGTACAATCTGCCATTAACAAAATGTGTTCTTCTGTTTTTCTATTTCATATTGAGCAAATCTGTAACTACAGATATAATAGTACTCTGTATATATATACACACACACACACATATGCACACACATTTACTCGTATTTATATAAATGAAGAGACTAAGTATTTTAGAAGTAAATGATCAATTATCATCTTCTTTTACATTTATTTTTGTTATTAAATAATTTTTTAAGACTAAGAAGAAAGTTTAGGGACCCAGAGAAGGAATAACAATTAAATAAATCAATAAAATAACAGTATAGAGTTGAATTTAATCATACATATTAAGGAAAATTTCAGTTCAAAATAATACTTTTTTTCTCAAAATCTCATCCACCTAAAAGTCAAATTCCTCAATTGTGAGAATAATATAAAATTTTTCAAAACTTCAGTCACAATCTTCTTTCATAATTAATGCAAGAATACCAGAAAATATTTTTATCTACTTATTATAGACCTTGAATATTTGCTTAATTCATGTGTTTGATAATCTCTGCATGAAAGAAACACACACATATACAGATTACTTTTCAGGTAATATTTATACAATGATACTGTATCAGTGTATAATTGTGCTTGAGGTTACCAATATGAATTCACTTTAGCCTCTTTATTCTGCCTTGAAGTAAGTATGCATTGATGCTAGAAGTATTGTTCAAATAGAAAATCATAATGCAATGGTTGTCAATCCAAGGTTTCTTAAGTATCAAATTAGAAAGAAAGCAAGGTTTAAGACATCTCAATAAACACAAGCTGTGAGTATGTTCTCTTATTATACCACAAAATGTGTTCTGGATAAACTCTAAGATGTGGGGAACATAAAGCGCCAAAGGGGCCAGAAGTTTCTACTTTAAATGGGCTTCCTTTCATAAACAGAAAATATTAATGCTGAGTCACAAAATGAAGAATGGTAGAGTGACATGTTCAAAGTCTAATCATTGAGCTTTCATTCAGTTGCAATTCAAAGTGTATCAAAAAATTTTTTCATCAATAAGAGACAGATTGTCAGAACTCCTATTTTTAGGCAGTATTCATCTATAAGGAAGAAAATAAGTTGCTCTAATTAATGCAGCATGAATAAGTCAAGGCACAGTTTGCTCTGTCTGAAATTGAAGCTTCATGCCACAAGAAAAGTGTATGCAACAAAAGTAAAATAGAGTTGCTAGCATTTGTACAGAATTTTAGAGAAATACAGAATGGCATGGAGTCTTACCAATATGATTTTCACAGTATGAGATAACATTTTATATTAACATGTTCATAATTAATTCCAGAAGAAATATACTACATTTAATATTTTTTCTGTGTTCCTTGGTCCATCATATTAAAAAACTATCCCAGTTAGAAGTAGTCCAGTTGAGGGTAATTTTTTCTGCTTTCAGACTACTTTAGCTTAGAAAATTAAAAGTTTAGATGGCAGACATTTCTCTAACACTTAAGATATTATAATTTTATTTATTTTTAAATATAAAACTAAAATTTTGAAATATGGTAATAGAGTGCCATAAACATTATTATTGCTATGTTATTAATTTTAGTGATAAGCAAGGTGCTAATAGCAAAGCCAATGACATAAACCATGTTTTTGAAATTTTCTTTTATTTATGTATGTGTGCAATTAACAATGACATAATTTGGTTGATGTAAAAGACACTTAGGACACTTAGATTGATTCCATATCTTGGCAATTGTTAATAGTGGTGCAATAAACATAAGGGTGCATGCATCCCTTTGATACACTGGTTTTCTTTCCTTTGGATAAATACCTAATGCTGGGATTGCTGGATCATATGGTAGTTCCATTTTTAGTTTTTTGAGAAACCTCCATACTGTTTTCCAAGATGACTGTACTAATTTGCATTCTCACCAACAGGGAATAGGAGTTCTCTCTTCTCCACATCCTCACCAGCATTTGTTATTTTTTGTCTTTTTGATAATAGCCATTCTTACTGGAGTAAGATGATAGCTTGTTGTGGTTTATTTGCATTTTCCTGATGATGTATGATGTTGCTCATCTTTTAATCTACCTGTTTGCCATGTGTATATCTTCTTTTCAGAAATGTCTATTCAGATCCTTTGCCTACTTTTAAATTAATTTTTTTTTGCCTTTGAGTTTCTCGTATATTCTGGATATTAGTCCCTAGTTGGATGAGTAGTTTGCGAATATTTTCTCCCATTCAGCAGGTTGTCTTTTCACTCTGTTGATTGTTTCCTGTGCTGTGCAGAAGGCCTTTTAGTTTAATATAGTCTCATTTGTCTATTTTTGTTTATGCTGTCTGTGTTTCCCAGGTCTTAGCCACAAAATCTTGGCCTAGACCAATGTCCTGGACTGTTTCCCTAGTATTTTAACTAGATGAGTCTGAATTCAATTATAAGTGTTAATAGTTTAATATCCAAAAATAGGCTTTTTACTAAAGATTTGGGTAGAATGTAAAATGATGAAAAGGAAAAAATTTAAAATCTAGAATATAAATCATAACCAGTTGGGATTTGGATTACAGAAAAGTTAAGAATATGAGATTGAAATATACACACCAGGTTCCTAAGACAAAGGCTTGCTTTTCCAGCTAGATAGAATTCTTAATATTCTTCACATTTGTTCTATAAATTTGAGGGCTTCTGGATAATATTCAGCTCCAAAAAGACATTAAAGCCTCTCATGTAGATAAAATAATACTTTTCTTAAGGAGAAATTTTAGCTACTCTTTATAGTAAAAAGCAACATACTTGTTTATATGGAATATCCTTTAAAAACTCATTTTTTCTATTGAGGACTCAGAAATATGAGGCTCCTCATGGAAAATATATTGCATCAGGTAGTTATGTAAACTCATTCAAAAAGTATTTACCACATAGTTATTTTAAAAAGAAAAAAACTTTTTTTTCCTTTTTTTTTTTTTTAAATAGAGACAAGGGCTCACGATATTGCCCATGCTGGTTTAAACTCCTGAGCTCAAGAGATCCTCCCGCCTCAGCCACCCTAAGAGCTAGGATTATAACCGTGAGCCGCAACTGCCCAAAAATCTCCTTTTCTAAGATGTATTCAAAATGACTTTGTTCTCCAATCTTCCCTCGCTATACTTAATAATTCCTGTCAGACTCACGTAATTCTTATCTTGGGGAAGTGTCTTCTAAAATATGCTCATTTTTCAAATTGTAAAACCAAATAGTGAAAATAAGTGAATTACCCACTGTTAAGAATTTAAACTCCATCCTTTCACCCATTAACTTTTCTTAAAAGCAAAGCTGAAATATTATCAGTGAAGAAAATCATTTTTCTAGGAAAGGAAACTAAAGATACCTTAACAGGTGACCCCAAAACCACACATTTTAAATGTTGCCCCTTTTTTACTTGGACATTTTTGGAGTACAATGTGATTGATATTTTTGCAAGGCAGCAGGTGCATTAAATATCTGCTCATGCCACCCGTGGTGGGGGGGGGGCATGTTTTAGAAAGAGTTTCTCTTATAGCATGCTAATTGACATCTTTGTGAGATAAAACGTAACATTTAACTTTTAAGAAAAGAGATACACATCCCTCAAAGTTAGCTTAAAGGATTCTATTCATTAAAACAATGAGCAATATGAATACAATCTCTTGCTGATGTGTTTCAAGCCTTATTTTTCGGTTACCCTCAATTATTTTAAGAGTAACAGTAAACAGAAGTAAGAAAGAATGACAATTTGAAACAATTCACATTCCTATTTTGGCTAAAATGGCTATAGAGTGAGACAGACAAATTAGTTTTCTCTGATTCTCACTTTGGAAAAAAAAGTCAATCTTTATTCACTTTAACAATGCAGTTAAATTAAAAAAAACTGAAAACTCAAAAAATTGTATCCAAGAATTTCAAACTTTTCTGAAAATATCTATTTTTCCTTATGAGTGTTTAAACCATAAGTATTTAATCAGTCAAACTTTCAAATGGTAGTATGGAAAATACTGAAAGAGGGGCATACATTTTAATATAGCAATTTCATTTCAACAAATGTAGTCTATGGAAATAATCAGAGTTTTACACAAATATGTGGACAAAAATATCCACAGAGGTGACATTCATAATACAGAACAACTGGAAGAAAATAAAATGATCAACAGTAAAATGTTAGTGATTAAAAATATTTTATATCCATATAATAGAATGCAATCAATAAAAATTATGTGTAGTATTAAACATATATTTATATTATGAAGGAATGAAAATCCTCCTTATTTTCTATGGGGAAGGTAGACAACCTTTTTGTTTTGGGAGACTAGGTCCTCTTTGTCTTGAGTGAGTATAAAGAAGAATCTTAAGATTCTATGATCTGGAACTTATCTAATAATCACATTCATGCAAACAGATAACCAAGCTCTATTATCCAACATTCATTCAGTATTTACTTATTAGGCATTGCCTCTGTGCTAAAATTATCTAAACAATGAAGATACAAAGATGTACAAAATAAACAACCTCAATTCTAATATCACAGTGCTCGGAGGTTGGGGGAACGTGACAGAAAATCAAGACAGACAATAAATACATAAATAAAAACCTCAAAGCAATTTTAAATAATGTGTTCTATTTTTTAAATGGGGTCAAACAAAAAGATAGGTGTTAACTGGAGGGTTATTTAGAGAGAGTAGTGAAGGGAGGTCTATCTGAGAAAGTGACATTAGAGCAGGGAAATGGACATTCCAGATTATGTTAATACAGCCTAAGATCTCTGAACAAGGAATGAGTTTGACATGTTTCAGAGCAAATCAGAAAGAAGGAATGTATCACTGTATCTGATTGAGCAAACTGGAGAATGAAAGTACATAAATTTGGAGTGGAATACTGGAATCGAATCACATAGGGCCTTTAGGTCTCCATAAGTTTCAAGAGAAGAACAAACATAAAGGAAATAAAAAATTAGGAGAAGCTCTGAGTCTAGTGGACCAGACAAATAACTCAATCCTGACACCAGGTAAGAGTTGGTCTACAGCGGTAGGAAACACTTCGAATTCCTATACCAATGCTAGTCTTTTTATATAATAGGTTAACAGGATTCCTCCCACTGCCTGTACCCAGAAGTAACACTTGCAAATCAATCAGGTACCATGTGATCAGTATTCTTACTGTAGTTGCCACTCTTCCATGTATCCATTCAATGTGTGAGGTGGACTCAGCCCAACAAAAATCGAGGAAGAGTGTGAGTGTTTTTATTCTTTAGAAACCCAACTTTTTTGCCACAGTGTTCCCTAAGCTGGGAAAGACAAACAGATCAAAATATCAAAGGCATCTATGGGAATTATAGATTACGGTGTCTTTTGTTTGGAGTTTCTTGCTCTAGTACTTTCCAAGTTTTCTGGCATGAACTCTTTTATTTTGATCATTAAGAACAAAAGCTGTTAAAAATCAATCAATAAAAGGAAGGTCTTTCCCCTTCTGTAACCTGCATTAATATTAGATTTATAAAAGCCTGACTACATCACTATAATCAGCTATATCAAAGTACTAAAACATAAAAGATATTTTAACAGATAAGACAAAAAATAACACAAATCAAATTTGCACATAAAAATGATTTTGTTATGAACCACATAATTGTAACATGGTTTTCCTAGTTATCCACCTTGGTCCCATGCATGGTTATTAATAAATTGCTTTTATTTTTAAAATAAAAATGCACACAGTCATCAGTTTGAGGCCTCGCCAGTATTCTATTTCTCTAAAAATTTCAGACAGATCCAAAGAACAACAAGGAGAATGCATGCATATTAATGATACTAATGACAATAATTCTCACAATGTGAATATGGCACAAGCCCAGTCAAATCATACTGATATGTACAGCTCAGTCAACAAAGCCAATAGGACTTTACGAGACCCATCAATCTGAGAAGTGAGCTTTACCAAGTCTGCCAAAGAACAGCCACATTTCTCCCCCATGGAATCAGGGACTCCTCCAAATGACATTTCAGAGCTTGAAATGCCATTGCTTTGTAGCTAAATGAATATTCTCTTAAGCATTTCCTTTCCAATACATGAATTTCCAGGAATGAGATACCACCCACTACCAGCTGGATACAGATATAAATAAAGAGAAATTCACCCTTGGATATGAAATCAATTTTTTTAGTGTTTATATATTTTAAACTTGAAGTTTCATCATTTATTGAAGAAAAACTTATCCTTTTAGAAGTTATTCAGAAATATGTTAAAGAATGCAGGAGTTGCCTACATTTGCATATTAATGGGTTTTGTTTTGTTTTAAAGTTTGAGTTCAGTGCAATTGGTGAGTGTCTGATGGTCATTTTGCTCATCTCCATAAACCAATCTCCTGTGTCCATGTATATATAGTTTATAGAAATCTATATTTTTCCCAGAAACCTTTTGTAATAAAGATGTTGAACTTCTTGAATGTAAAAGTAATTTTTGCAACAGAAAGTAAGTACATCTTAAAACTTTCAACGTTTTTTGGAGATATTATCAAATAAAATATATTATTGCTATCATTGCAGAATCAATTACAGAAATAATAGACATTATATATGTGCGTGCGCGTGCGCACGCGCATGTGTGTGTATGTACACAAAATATATTTTCCTTTGAAGAAGAAATGTACAGGTAACAGGTAAGATTCAAATTCAGTTTCTATTCTAAATCATATTCAGCATAATTACTGACCAATGGTTCTATATTAATACAAAATGTTGAAGCAATGTCTGCAAGTGCATACCTATCAGATTTTCTTTAATTTTTTATTTGGAAATGTTTTTAAGGAGACAGAGAAAGCATTAAATGTGGAATAGCAGAGACTAAGCACTAACATAGAAAAGAAGCATCATCCTTCCGATGTATGGTCCTAGACAATTCAGACCCACTGAGGTTTTCTGCCATGCTAGAGTCCTCCAAATATTTCTTATTTGGAGAAATTGCACAAATTCCTGCAAAGTAGAAAAATTCAACTATGTGCACTGGATAGGTGGCATTTAAAAGAACACTGTCAATCTCATAAAACAACTCTGTCCTAATTGCTTAGTAATATTTTCAGAGGTACGTTATGTACCAGTAACTAGAGTAAAAGCTGAGCCAAAAAAAAAAAATTAGCTCACTTCTCTTTCTTCTTGAGGCTTTTAAGGTTCAATGGAAATTTTCTGTATATCTGAAAAGGACTAGCAATTCAAAAACTATATATGGAGTATTTACTGCATGCGTAAGCCATATCTAGCTAGCATTTGCCTCTCATTTTACAGCTTAAAATAGGATTTTATATACATAATCTAATTTGATCCTTATACCAAATGTAAGAATTCAAATATGGGTAGCAATTTCTTAAAACCTGCAAAGGCATAAAGAGAAAAAAAAAACATATTTTCTATACGTATATAATATGATCCTCTTACTTCTTTGACTGAACTTCTGTTTGTATACAAAGACTTACAAAATAGCACAGAGGCTTAAAAATAGAAGAAAATGGGCATTAAGTCTTATATGTTCTACAGAGGTACAGTCTATATCAGCCACTGGAAGGAAATAAATAATCTGTTTTCATGAATTCAAAATTTATGTGACTGTTATCTCTCAATGCAAGAATGAGATAGTAAATAATTAGAAAATATGCTAAACCTCTAACTTAAAACAGACTCTAGTTAGCTTTCTTATTGAATCATCTATTTTTTGAAATGCCTTACTGAAAACTACTTAATGGCAGAGACAGTTTAGTTACATAAATAGACAATCTAATTAAATTAATTACAGTGCAATTAAACTGATAAACAATTTAGATAGATAAATAGATAAAAATTAAACAAACAACATGGAAATATTTCTACTGCTGCAGATAACAACGTAAATCTTTTCATTGGAGAAAAAATATCTTTATTCACTTATGACATGATTGTCCAAGTAGAAAATCCTAAGGTATCTATCAGAGATTTACCAGGTCTAACAGGAGAGTTTAGCAAGGTTGCAGGATATATGGTTAACATACAAAAATAAATTGCATGTCTATATAAGTCATGCATTGCTTAATAACAGGTATACATTCTGAGAAACGCATTGTTAGGCAAACTTGCCATTGTGTGAACATGATAGTGTGTACTGACACAAATCTAGATGATATAACCTACTATACTTTACATGATATAGCCTACCGCTCCTAGGCTACAAACCTGTACAGCATGTTACTGTACTGAATACTGCAGGCAATTGTAGCATAATGGTAAATATTTATGTATCTAAACATAAGGAACAGTAAAAATACCATATTATAACCTTAAAGGACCATTTTCATATATGTGGTTGATGAAAACATCTTTACGCAGCACATGACTGTATTACAAACAACAATCAGAAAGTAAATTTTAAAGCACCATTTATAATAGTATCAAATATATAAGGTATTTTTAGATAAATTGGTCAATAGAGCTGCAATTTCTATATGATAAAAACTATAAAACCCTGCTAAAGGAAATTAAAAACCTAAGTAAATGGAAGATATGCCACATACAAGGATTAGAAAAGTTACTAAAGTTATGTCAGTTCTTTGCCACATTTTCAAGCCAATTCTAGAATGTAAATGAAATAGCAAAGAACTGGAATAATGGTTCTCAATCAGAGGACAGCTTTGTCTCCCAGGGGATTTTTGGCATTGTCTGGAGACATTTTTGGTGATCACAATTGGGAAAGATGCTATTAGCATCCAGTGAGTAGAGGCCAGGGATGCTGCTAAACATTCTAAAGTGTCCCAGGCAGCCCTCCCATAGCAAATAATTATCAAGCGCAAATGGTCAATTGTCCCAAGGGTTGAGAAACCTTGGACTAGAATCACCAAAACAATTTTGAAAAAGAACAAGATTGGATGACTTACACGCCATGATCATATTACCTTATCTCTGGTATTAGTGGAAAAGTAGTTGTAAAGATTAACAGAACAGAATAGAACAATCCAAAAAAAATCAAAATATGTATGACGTTAATTTAAAAAAAAAACACACCAACGCTTTCTCAACTCATACTTCACATAGTATACAAAAGTAATCACATACAAAATTAATTTTAAAAAATAAAATGGTCAGAGATCAAAATGTAAAATCTAAATCTGAAACTCTAGAGAAGTTAAGATAAAACTTCTGTGATCGCGGACTAGAAAAATATTTCCTAAACAGGACTCAAAAAGCACAAACCTAAAATATAAATTGGTAAATAGGACTCCATCAACATTAGAAATAGCAACAACAACAAAAACCACCTCTCCTTTTTGTAAAGATAATGTCACTTCGGTGGTCCCCAGTTGTCCTAGTTGACCAGCTTCCCTGGGGTGACTTCTCTTCTTCCATCCATTACACATGAAAGATGAGTCTTAGACACCAGCTAATGCTCAAGAGGTCTATTTAGGCAGGGCTCTTATCAGATGGACAGCAGGAGCAGGCTGGTGGCATGGGCCAGGTACAGGCAGGGGGTCAGTCAGGGAGGATCTCTGTTTGGAGGCTATTCTCAGAGTTTGGGGGATTCTTCTCCTCTTCTTATACTGGCATTAAATCTAGGTCAGTTACCAGGTATTTCTTTCATAAAGGGACTTTAAGCTATTCTTGGAAGGGTAAGCTTTGTTTTAAAGTTCATAGCCTTGGAGGTTGAGGCTGCGATGGCCCATGATCATACCGCTGCACTCCAGCCTTGACAAGAGAGACCCTCATCTCAAAAAAAAAAAAAAAAAAAAAAAAATGGATGGGTGGCTAGTACACGAAGGTTGTTTCTGTGCTGAGGCGACCTTGTCTCTAGAACAACTAGGGTTTTTTAGGACTCATTATCATAGAGACCCAGTAATACCCAGGCATGTTTGCTATGAGGGTCTTAAAATCCCATCCTGGTGGGGTCTCTGGGAAGTCCCCATCTCCGGTTATCAAGGAGATCTGGAAAGTCTCCTGGGCCCTTTTACCATCTACCATTAAGTAGCAGGTAGTATTGTCCTTGCAAGACACTTAATTAGATATTTTGTCTATCACTAATTTTATAACCATGAAATATCACTTGTAGCACACTACAGATATTATTAAGAAAATTACAACACAATTTACAAAGAGATAAAATGTGTGAAAACATATACAATTGTTCCTCAGTATCCTTGAGAATTGGTTGCATGACCCCTGTGGATACCAAAATCCACAGATGCTTAAGTTGCTTATGTGAAATGGCACAGTGTAGATTGGGTACTCCTTATCTGAAATGCTTGGGACCAGAATTGTTTGGGATTTTAGATTTCTTTTGGATTTTTGAATATTTTCATATACATAGTGAGATTTATTGGGGATGGAACCCAAGTCTAAACACAAAATTCTTTTAAGTTTTTTTTTCTTTTTTATATATACTTTAAGTTCTGTGATACATATACAGAACATGCAGGTTTGTTAGGTAGGTATACACGTGCCATGGTGGTTTGCTGCACCCATCAACCTGTCATCTACATTAGGTATGTCTCCTAATGCTACCCCTCCCTTCCCCTAGCCCCCCACCACCTGACAGGCCCTGGTGTTTGATGTTCCCCTCCCTGTGTCCACGTGTTCTCATTGTTCAACTCCCACTTATGAGTGAGAACATGCAGTGTTTCATTTTCTGTTCCTGTGTTAGTCTGCTGAGAACCATGGTTTCCAGCTTCATCCATGTCCCTGCAAAAGACATGAATTCATCCTTTTTAATGGCTGCTGGGTATTCCATGTTGTATATATGCCACATTTTCTCTATCCGGTCTATCACTGATGAGCATTTGGGTTGGTTCCAAGTCTTTGCTATTGTGAACAGTGCTGCAATAAACAAATGTGTGCATGTGTCTTTATAGTAGAATGATTTATAATGTTTTGGGTATATACCCAGTAATGGGATTGCTGGGTCAAATGGTATTTCTGGTTCTAGATCCTTGAGGAATTGCCACACTGTCTTCCACAATGGTTTAACTAATTTACACTCCCAAAAAAAGTGTAAAAGCATTCCTAATTCTCTATATCCTCTCCAGCATCTGTTGCTTCCTGACTTTTTAATTACCACCCTTCTAACTGGCGTGAGATGGTATCTCATTATGGTTTTGATTTGCATTTCTCTAATGACAAGTGATGATGAGCTTTTTTTTCGTATGTTTATTGGCCACATAAATGTCTTCTTTTGAGAAGTGTCCGTTCATATCTCTTGCCCACTTTTTGACACCATCCCAAGACTAAACCAGGAAGAATCAAATCCCTGAAGAGACCAATAACAAGTTCTGAAATTGAGGCAGTAATTAATAGCCTACCAATCAAAAAAAGCACAGGAACAGATGGATTCACAGCCTAATTCTACCAGAGATACAAAGAGGAAATGGTACCATTCCTTCTGAAACTATTCCAAAGAATAGAAAAAGAGGGACTCCTTCCTAACTCATTTTATGAGGCCAGCATCATCCTGATACCAAAACCTAGCAGAGATAAAACAAAAAAAAAAAAAAAAGAAAATTTCAGCCCAATATCCCTGATGAACATCGACGCAATAAACCTCAATAAAATACTGGCAAACAGAATCCATCAGCACATCAAAAAGCTTATCCACCACAATCAAGTCGGCTTCATCCCTGGGATGCAAGGCTGGTTCAACATACACAAATCAATAAATGTAATGCATCACATAAACAGAACCAATGACAAAAACCACATAATTATCTAAATAGATGCAGAAAAGGCCTTCGATAAAATTCAACACCCTTTCATGCTAAAAAAAAAAACTCTCAATAAACTAGGTATCGATGGAATGTATCTCAAAATAATAAGAGCTATTTATGACAAACCCACAGCCAATATGATACTGAATGGGCAAAAGTGGACATTCCCTTTGAAAACCGGCACAGGACAAGGATGCTCTCTTTCACCACTCCTATTCAACATAGCATTGGAAGTTCTAGCCAGGGAAATAAGGCAAGAGAAAGAAATAAAGTGTATTCACATAGGAAGAGAGGAAGTCAAATAGTCTCTGTTTGCAGATGTCATGATTGCATATTTAGAAAACCCTGTCATCTCAGCCCAAAATCTCCTTAAGTGGATAAGCAACTTCAGCAAAGTCTCAGGATACAAAATCAATGTGCAAAAATCACAAGCATTCCTATACACCAATAATAGACAAACGGAGAGCCAAATCATGAGTGAACTCCCATTCACAATTGCTACAAAGAGAATAAAATAACCTAGGAATACAACTTACAAGGGATGTGAAGGATCTCTTCAAGGAGAACTACAAACCACTGCTCAAGGAAATGAGAGGACACAAACAAATGGAAAAATATTCCATGCTGATGTATAGGAAGAATCAATATCATGAAAATGGCCATATGGCCCAAAGTAATTTATAGATTTAATGCTAACCCCATCAAGCTACCATTGACTTTCTTCACAGAATTAGAAAAAACTACTTTAAATTTCATATGGAACCAAAACAGAGCCCATATAGCCAAGGCAATCCTCAGCAAAAAGAACAAAGCTGGAGGAATCATGCTACCTGACTTCAAAGTATACTGCAAGGCTACAGTAAACAAAACAGCATGGTACTGGTACCAAAACAGATATATAGACCAATGGAAAAAGAACAGAGTCCTGAGAAATAACGCCACACATCTACAACTAACTGATCTTTGACAAACCTGACAAAAACAAGCAATAGGGAAAGGATCCCTTATTTAAAAAATGGTGTTGGGAAAACTGGCTAGCCATCTACAGAAAACTGAAACTGGACCCCTTCCTTACACCTTATACAAAAATTAACTCAAGATGGATTAAAGACTTAAACGTAATACCTAAAGCCATAAAAACCCTAGAAGGAAACCTAGGCAATACCATTCAGGACATAGACATGTGCAAAGACTTCATGACTAAAACACCAAAGCAATGGCAACAGAAGTCAAAATTGAGAAATGGGATCTAATTAAACTAAAGAGCTTCCACAAAGGAAAAGAAACTATCATCAGAGTGAACATGTAACCTACAGAATGGGAGAAAATTTTTGCAATCTATCCATCTAACAAAGGGCTAATATCCAGAACCCACAAGGAACTTAAACAAATTTACAAGAAAAAAACAACCCCATCTTTTATGTTTTATATATACATTACACACATAGCCCAAAGGTAATTTTATACAATATATTTAATACTTTCGTGCATGAAACAAATTTTGTGTTAAGTACTAATTATAGAATTTTCTACTTGAGTCTGTCAGCACTCAAAAAGTTTTGGATTTTGGAGTATTTCAGATTTCCAGTTTTTGAATTAAAATTAGGGATGCTCAACCTATATTTGCATATAACTAATACACATCCTTTTGTATATTTTAAATGACTCTGGTTACTTTTATTACCTAATACTATGTAAATACTATGTAAATAGTTGTTATAATATTTTTGTATTTTTATCTGTTTTATTGTTGTATTATTATTTTTTAGTGTTTTTTTCTGAATATTTTCCATCTGCAGTTGGTTAAATCTCCAGATGCAGAACCCATGGCTACATATGTATGTGTGTATGATAAAACTTGCATCCAGAATGCAAATATTAACCTTGCAACTCAATAATTATAAAATTTTAAAATACAATAAAAATAAGCAAAATATTTGAACACTTTATAAACAAAAATACAAAAGTGAAACAAATAAATTATATTCAGTATCATTAGTCATTAGAAAATGCAAACAAAAATTGCACTGTGATACCTTTACATACTTTTTACAATGGCAAAAATTAATTTTTTAATGGCAATTCCAAGTCCTAACAACGATATGGAATAACCTAAACTCTCACAGACTACTGGTGGGAGTGCAACATGATATAGCCACTTTGGAAAACACTCTGAGATACCAGTACAATGTTAAACATTTACTCACCAAAATCCCATAAATATCTCCTGGATTTTTATTCAACATAAAGGAAAATATATTTCTACACACAAATTTATTTGTAAATATTTATAGCACTTTTATGCATAATGATCACAAACTGAAAATAACCTAAATGTCTAACAAACTGTAAATGGATAAATTTTTATACAGCCACGCATTGCAATACTATTCAGTTATAAAAAGGAACTGATACATACGATGAAATGAATGAATATGAAAAGCATATGCTAAGTGACGGAAGACAAATACAGAAAGGTACACAGCCCTTTAAATTTTCTTTTAAAAGAAAATGTGGCTCCCATTTATATAACATTCTAGAAAATTCAAAGTTATAGGTGCAGAAATCAGATCTGTGTTTTCCAGGGGCTAACTTTGGGGAGGAGATTGAAAACACAGAGCCACAAGGCAACTCTTTGGGGTAATGAGAATGTTGCATATCTTCATTGTAGTGGTAGTCACATTGTTTATATTTATCAGAACTCATTGAAATGTACTCTATAAAGGATGAGTTTTACTTTGTATTATCTCAATAAACTAAACTAAGCAAGAAAACAAAGGCTATACTTTTGCTTCTCTACAAAAGTGAAGACTCCAGGTCAGAGGAAGTTAAACTCAAAACTTTTTATTACAAATTTAATTTACTGCTGTATGGCTTGAGATTTTACATAATTGGAAATTACAAAGAAAAATACTACAATGTAAGCAAGTGCTTGCTAACAGAAAAGTCCAAATAGAATCTATCATATGGAAAGGATATTGTGGTGCATTTCCCCCAATACCTATGCTGGTAATCATACTCCTGTAGTTTACATACCACTACTTTCAAGGCCTGGAGATGGGTGAAAGGGCTGCTGCTGTGTAACAAGCTCCAGTGGAAACTGTTTCCAACTTCAATTATTAATACATAAAATAGAGAAATACCTTTTCTGTAACAACAAAAATTTACTAAGTCCTGATTTTTATTTTTGACTTCCCGTATTCACGAAAGCTAAGCAGAGAGAAAGAAGATTTTCCTCTTTTTAATTTGTTCTATTATAATTACTAGGGGTTTTCTGATTGTGGTTTGCAGCTGGCAAGCATAACAATGGTAGAATACATCAGCATGCATGACAAGTCACACCCATACATTTAAGCATGCAACTGTTTTTCTGTTCTTTGGGAAAGAATGCCATTAATAAACCTTTTTGCATTTAAATGTTACATGACTGCAAATCAATACAGGTTAATATTGCTCCTATAAATGAGGTCTGCTATATTCAGTGCCATAAGATACTCAGTGGTGAATATAAAAGAGGCAGTGATAAAATCACTTAAAGGAGAATGGAAATGTTTAAGAAATAAATGCCAAGAAGAACCAACACACATAATATATAAGGTCCCAAGACTAGAAAAGACTTTATATTTTCATTTGATGGTAACACGTGGTCTAACCTAAATACCATTGGTTTTTTTTAAGTGTAATACATCACTGTTTATTCATGCATTCATTCAAGATGATCAATCAAGCACCTAGAATATGCCAGGCTTTTTTTTTTCAAGCTTAAAAGATATATCAGTGAACAGAACAAAGACCTTACGATAATTCAATGCAAAACACACACACACACACACACACACACACACTCACTCAAATATCTTTTATACCAAAACATAATCTCCCTTCACTCTATTCCACTCTACTTCAATCTCTATTTCATTCACTCTCCTCATTTATACATATAAAGTCAACTCATAAAATTAAAAGGAAACTTAAATGTTCTTATACATATTATGAAAACTATAATAGCACTATTTGTTAATTTTTGTCACAATTTACTAAGCACCAATTGTATGACAGAATGTTGCCTGCGATGGCACAATGAAAAAGATGAATGTAGTCTAATGAGGAGGTAGAAGCACATAGATCCTTTCAAAATCTTGATGAATTTGGGGATTTTTTTATACAAGACCATAGAGAGTCTAGGATATGAGATAAGACTATATTAATACAGATAACTATGAGTAGATACATATTTCATGGGAGTTTGTAGATTTTCTTAGGATTATTTTAATTTTCTTGGCAAAGTGGGAAACTGAATTTCTGTTTCAGAGAAAACGGAAGAGCTTCCTTCATCTAGGCACAACTAAAAACCTTAGATATTGTCTATAAAATAAACATAAGGAAACTCTAAGGGACTTCAGGGCCCAAGGAATGACATGAGGATAAGTTACCTTGGATTTCCTTTTGCCTTATATATACTTAAATTTAAGTTGACAACCCAGAAATGTCAATGGGCACAACCACAAAAAGCCACATCAAAGATCTTGGTCCTCTCTAGCCAAAGGACCAAGAACAACCTTCATCCACACAACATTATCTTCTAAAGTCCACAATTTATATTAGGGTTCATTCCTGGTATTGTATATTTTGTGGATTTTGACGAATGTATAATGACATGTACCTACCATTATATATTATACAAAATAGATCCACTGTCTTAAAAATCATCTGTGCTCTGTCTGTTCATCTCTTTCTCCTCCTAATCCCTAACAACCACTGATCTTTTTTACTGTCTCCATAATTTTTCCTTTTCCAGAAGGTCATATAGTTGGAATTATACAACATGTTGTCTTTTCAAATTGGCTTCTTTTATTTAGTAATATACAGTTAAATTTCCACCACGTCTTTTTATTGCTTGATAGTTCATTTTCTTTTAGCACTGAATAATATTCCCTTATCTAAATGCATTACAGTTTATTTATCCACTCAACGAAGGACATCTTGGTTACTTCCAAGTTTTAGCAATTATGAATAAAGCTGCTATAAATATCTGTGTGCAGGATTTTGTGCAGACATATGTTTTCATCTCCTCTGGGTAAATACCAAGGAGTCCAACTGATAGACTGTATGGTAAGAGCACACTTAGTTTTATAAGAAACTGCCAAATTGTTTCCTAAAGTCATTGTACCATTTTGGAGTCCCACTAGCAAAGAATGAGAGATTCTATTGCTCCACATTTTTGGCCACTTTTTATGTTGTCAGTAATTTACATTTTTGCTATAATAATATTAAATAGCTGTTAGTTATTTTAATTTGCAATTCCCTAATAACATGATGTTAAGCATCTTTTCATATGCTTATTTGCCCTCTGAATATCTTATTTGGTGAGATGTCTGTTCATTTTTTTAAACCCAATTTTTAATCAGGTTATTTTCTTATTGTTGAATTTTAAGACTTCATCACATTATTTTAGATAACAGTTCTTTATCAGATTGTCTTTTGTAAATATTTTCTCCCAGTATGTAGGTTTTCTTCTCATTGTCTTGAGATACATTCTATTATTATTATTATTATTATTATTATTATTATTATTATTTTAAATAGGGTCCCACTTTGTTGCCCAGGCTGGCATGCAGTTGCATGATCATGGCTCACTGCAGCTCTACCTCCCTAGCTCAAGCAATCCTCTCACCTTACCCTCCAGAGTAGCTGGGACCACAAGTGCACACCACCATGCCCAGCTAATCTTTTAAGTTTTGTAGAGACACTGTCTTGCTATGTTGTCCAGGCTGATCTCAAGCTCCTGGACTCAAGCAATCCTCCTGCCTCGTCCTCAAACTGTTAGGGTTATAGGCGTGAGCCACCACACCTGGCCATTCTATTTTTAATCATTTGTTTCTATTAATTTCTGCTTTTAGCTTATGTATGTATTATTTATTAAGGTTAACTTTGGCCTTTTGAATTTCTTTAGTTGAATACTTATCTAATTTTTATTCTTACTCCTTTATAAAAATCTCATTTAAGACCATATAATTTTTTTCCATAAAATTAGCTTGTCTTCCTTAAGTTTTGGTTTTATTATTTTGAAGATTTAAACATTTAATAATTGCCATTATACTTTTTTATTTGATTCTTGGATTACTTGGAAGTATGTTTCTCAGTGTTTGAATGTATCTGATTGCTCTCCTCATAATTTTTTTCTAATTTTATTACATTTAGATCTGAGTATATTTAGTTCATCCTTTGGTATTTATGAATAAGTACATAATTAATTTGTGAGAACACTTAAAAAGAATAAAGAGTTCTTTCAAATACATGAATTAATTTAAGATTTTTTAATTGTGTTTTTAATTTTCCATATTATTACTTTTGTCTGTTTGATAAGATAGTTTCTGAAAGAAGTACAATAGTATCTTCCCCTCTGACTGTAGACTTATCAATCTAAACTTATAATTCTTGTACATCTTTATCATGTATTTTGGGATTATAATGCAAAATACATTCAGGAGTGGTGTATGTTCCTGATGAAATGTGCTGTCTATTATTTCATACTGACCCACTTTAGCAATGTCTTTTGCTTTCAAGCTTTTTTTTTTTATTAGATCACTACAGCTTTAACAACTTTATTTGGATTATCGTTTTCCTATTATATCTTTTTCAATCTTTTTATTTTTATCTTTTCTGCATCATGTTTTAAATAGTGTATTTGTGGATTTATTATTTCTAATCTAGTGCACGACTGTGGCTTTTAATGGGAGAATTTGTTTATATTCATTGTAATTCATTGGAATGACATGATAGATTCATTTCCAACACAATGGTTGGTGGCTTTTATTTATTATTACTTTTTAATTGGTTTCTTTATTCCTCTTTTGACAAGTAAGCTTGATTTAACAAACTAAACTAAAAATAAAAACAATATTTTCATACAGTTGGCCCTCCATATTTGTGGATTCTGTCTGTGGATTCAACCAAACACAGATTAAAAATATTAAAAATAAATATTAACATTACAACAACAAAAATACAGTGTAAAAAGCCATAGAGCACAATAACTATTTATATAATATTTATATTTGATTGGGTATTATATGTAATCTAGAGTTGATTTAAAATGTAAAGGAGGATGCACACAGGTCATATGCAAATACAGTGCATTTGATATACAGAATTTGAACATCTATAAATTTTGGTATCCCAGGGGGGTTCCTGAAAACAATCCCCAATGGATACCAAGGAACAACTGTACATTTCTTAGACAACAGAAAATAGAACACTTTTATTTTCAATCTTCCTCATTCTATCTTTCTACTTTACTATTGTCTACTATTTAATTCCTCTTGTTTTAGACACTCAAAACTAGTCAGTATATTTAACAGTAATATTGAACTTAGTGACAAGAATTCCTTAGGTTAATCAAAATTTTTGTCTATTTTTTTCTAGAAACAAACTTGTTCCTTAAGGTTTAATTAACTTCTTTCTGAAATAATTCCGGTGGTTTTTCTGTCAGTGAGGATTTTTGAATGATAGATTCTTAAGTCTTGTTTTTTCCTTTCTTGGGCTTGCTATATATTCACTTCAGTTTTATTCTTGTTAATTTGCTGGGTATTGTTCTGAGTTGGTTATTTTATCTCAGTACTTTCTACTTTTCCTCCTGTTTTGCTGATGAGACTTCCACTTTTGCTCTAACCATCATTCATTTTTTAGAAAGCCAGTATATACCTGAGGACTAAACTGATTTTTTAATCTTGCCCAAATTCCTATCTAAAGAGACTGGGGAGTCATGCCCTACAAATCATACATTCTCATCAGATGGCTTTTATTTAACCCTATATATCATGATTTTCCAACCTGACTCTGGTATAACATTACCAGACAAGGAAGAAAATAAAAATATTTTACCCCAAAACATGTTTATTTGCCGTATTTTGAAATAGCCCCGCAAAGTTGTTCTTTGTGGGGAAGAACATGCATCTATAAAAGAAGCTCTATTAACATAGCTAGATCTTTTTCTTCCAGACCCTCCCAATCCTAAAGAGATTAACTAAGATCTGAATAGGAAACACTTGTCATCTATTTTCTCTAAGGGCAGCCATTATAAGACTTCAAAAGAACTTTGGTCTGCACAATCTTTTATCTTAACCTGAACATTCCCTTTCTATCAATCCTAGATCTTTAGACAAACTCAACCAATTGTCAACCAGAAAATGTTTAAATTCACCTATAGCCTGGAAACCTCCCCCTCCCCACTTCCAACCCTGCTTTGAGTTGGCCCACCTTTCTGGACCAAACCAATATATTTCTTAAGTGTATTTGACTGATGTCTCATGCTCTCTAAAATGTATAAAACCAATCTGCGCCCCTACCACCTTGGGCACATGTTCCCAGGACCTCCTGAGGGCTGTCACAGCCCACGGTCACCCATATTTGGCTCAGAATAAATCTCTTCCAATATTTTACACAGTTCAATTCTTTTTGTCTACATACCTCTCTCAATCTCTCTCTCTCAAAGATGTAAAGTTTTTTCTTTGTTTTAACATGCTGCAGTTAAACTTGGGTAGGGCTTTGGACTATCCTATTTGGGACTCACTGTGACCCTTCAATATGAAAGGTGCACACATATTGATTTTTCTTTTCTGAAAACATTGTTTGCCACTATGTCATTGACTTTTGCTTCTAATTCATTTTTTTTCTTTTGGATATCTTACAAGAAATTAGATTATTTATTTATGAAACTTGCTTTTGCCTAGAGCTCAAATAGCATCAGTTACCCCGACTCTATTTTTATATCATTTCTCATCCTGTAGATTACTGTGTTCTATGGTTAACATAACTTCAAAACTTTCATTCATTTATAGGGAAGCTGGGGTTTTGATGCTTGTCAGTGATTCTCCCTCACACTGACTCAAATCCCTAGATTAAATAGCTTCCCTAATATTTTGCAGGTCGATGGATAGATTTTTCCTATTCAGAGCAAAGAATAAGCTTAGGCTCTTTATTTGATGTAGAGGCCTAAATTCTAGTCCATTGTTTGAGATGAAGTATTTCTTTATCTATAAATGGGCATTAGGGACTGCAGCCTACAGTCCTGTTGCCGGTATCTAATGCCAGAATGCCAGCGGACTATCAGAGATTTGGCCTTCCCCTGTCATTTTCTTTTTCATTATTTGTTTTTCACCCCTGGGAAATCTTTCTTTCTGTCAAATTCAGTTATGTGGAGAGCAATAATACTTTTTTTTTTTTTTTTTTGCTATTCTCATAGTTTTTTCAAAGCATTTATGTGTTTGGGGCAGAAAGCAGGCCTATTTCCAACAGCCTAATCTGCTATTTTGCTAGAATTATCCAATATATCTTTATATCCATGTCTTTAAATACATTGTTCTCATTATATCTATTTTATTTATTAATACTTTGTGGCTATATTTTTCAGTCTAGCTTAAATGTAATTGTTGAAGCTCAAGAGAGCAACGCTCCACAGTATGGTGCTTCGGCATGCTGAGCACTTTTGAACTCAAGGAAATTAAAAGACCTTAGAAACAGCCTCAGCACCAAGGACTTTTTGACCTTCTCCTGTTTCTTCCCACCAAGCATAAGGTAGAACTCTATTTATGAAGTTCCCTTATCTGAAGCTCTTCCTGAAGGAACGCAATTTCCTTCTATTCCCTCCCTGAAATTTCATTATCTAACACAAGAAGGAAGATTGAAGAATGTAACCAACACCTAGACACACTTTGTCACAAGACATTGTCTCTTTCAGTGTCACTCATATTCCAAAGAGAATCATTTACAAGCTAATTTCTGTCTCCTGGGCCCATTGATTTCTCCTAAAGGTCATTTACTACCCCTCTCAATTGCCTACATCCCCCATTTCCCTCTTCGCTATGAAGAGGTTATTTAAGCTTCAGCTATCTGGCCCTTCAAGTCTTAGATTTGCAGGACTCCCATGTTTATATGCATCTTAATAAATTGCTATGCCTTTTGCTTTGATCATCTGTCTATTGTCAGTTTAATTTGGCAGGGTGACTCTGTTATTGAAACCTCAGAGGGAAAGTTCCTCTACATAAACTTCCCTACATAATAAAGATATCTTTAAATTAGGAATCACTAGCTATTTCCAAGTTTTTATTCTGACATTAAAATGATAGTGTAATGCTGGGAACATCATTGCTTTTAACTTTTTTATTCTTAAAGTGCTTTCCAAGGACATTTCAGCAATAGTATTCTAGGACCACAGGCATATGTTATTTTTTTTAAAAAAAAAAAGGAAGAAAGATGAAGGAAGGAAGGAGAGAGAAGGGGAAAGGAAAGGAAGGAAGAAAGAGAGGGAAGAGGGAGGGTGGGCAGGAGGAAGAAAAAAAGAAATGGAGGAAGGGAGGGAGAAAGAGAGAAAAAGAAAAATCGGAAAACAGAAAGATGAAAGAATGAAGAGAAGGAAAGAGAAAAGAAGGAAAGGAAGAGAAAAGAAAAAAGAAAGAAAAGGAAACAAGAAAAGAAGCAGAGAAAAGAAGAGATTCTAAGGAGGTTCAGTCCTGTAACTGTCATTAGTAGTTGAACAGACTTCCAAATAGGATAAAAAAATTTTTTTAGTAATTTTCCTGAAAACTTATGGCACCTACTAAGCAAATGAGGAATTAGAATAAATACATATATTTAATTTTCTCCTTGATAGGATTTTAGAGAGACTACTCAAAATATGGCATCTTGGACATTGAGTATTTTTAGCTGAAGGAATTTGAGAAACAGCATGTGCAGGAAAGACTTTCTGACCCTAATGTGGAAGGTGCCCACCCTACACTTGAAAGTAAGGAGCATTCTTTTTATTAAAAAAAAATTAATAAAAAATAAATAGAGTGAGGTCTCACCATGTTGCCCATGCTGGTCTCAAATTCCTACCCTCAAGTGATCCTCTCACCTCAGCCTCCCAAAGTGCTAAGATTGCAGCTGTGAGCCACTATGGCTGGCCAGAAAAGGTGTATTCTTTTTTTTTTTTTTTTTAATTACTTTTACTTCAATAGTTTTTTGAGTAGAGGTAGTTTTTGGTTACATGAGTAAGTTCTTTAGTGGTGATTTCTGAGATTCTGGTGCACCTGTCACCTGAGCTATATACATTGTATCATTCTTATGCCTTCACATCCTCATAGCTTAGCTCTCACTTATAAGTGAGAACATATGATATTTGGTTTTCCATTTCTGAATTACTCCACCTAGAATAATGGCCTCCAATCCATCCAAGTTGCTGCAAAAGACATTCTTTTGTTCCTTTTTATGGCTGAATAGTATTCCATGGTATGTGTATGTGTGTATGTGTGTGTGTATATATATATACACACACACACATATATCTATATATATAACCTTTTCTTTACCCACTCTGTTTGATGGGTACTTAGCTTGGTTCCATGTCTTTGCAATTATGAATTGTGCTGCTATAAACATGCATGTGCATGTGTCTTTTTGTATAACAATATATTTTCCTCTGGGTAGATACCCAGTAGTGGGATCGCTGGATTGAATGGTAGTTCTACGTTTAGTCTTTAAGGAATTGTCACAGTGTTTTTCATAGTTTACATTCCCACCAGGAATGTAAAGGTGTTCACTTTTCAACACATCGACACCAACATCTATCGGTTTTTTACTTTTTAATTGTTACCACTTTTGCAGGAGTAAGGTGGTATCTCATTGTGGTTTTAATTTGCACCTCCCTAATAATTGGTAATGTTTAGCATGTTTTTTCTTATGTTTGTTGGTTGTTTATCCTTTCTTGAGAATTGTCTATTCATATCATTTGCCTTCTGTTTGATGGGATTATTTTTTTCTTGCCGATTTGAGTTCCTTGTAGATTCTGGATATTATTCCTTTGTTGGACTCACAGTTTGTGAATGTTTTCTCCCATTCTGTGGGTTGTCTGTTTACCCTGCTGATTATTTCTTTTGCTGTGCAGAAAGTTTTTCATTTTATTAAGTACCATTTATTCATTTTTGTTTTTGTTGCATTTGCTTTTGGAGTCTTAGGAATGAATCCTTTGCCTAAGTCCATGTGTAGAAGAGTTTCTCTGAAATTATCTTCTAGAATTTTTGACTTCAGGTCTTTGATCCATATTGAGCTGATTTTTGTAAAAAGTGAGAGATGAGGAACCATTTATATTTATCTACATGTGGCTTGTCAGTTTTCCAGCCCCATTTATTGAATAGATTATCCTTTCCCCAATTTATGTTTTTGTATGCTTTGTTGAAGATCAGTTGGCTCTATTTGGCTTTATTTTTGGGTTCTCTATTCTGTCCTATTGGTCTACATGTCTATTTTTATACCAGTACCATGTCGTTTTGGTAACTATAGCCATGTAGTATAGTTTGAAGTTGGGTAATGTGATGCCTCCAAATTTGTTCTTTCTCCTTAGTATTGCTTTGGCTATGTGGGCTTTTTTTTTTTTTTTGGTTTAATACAAATTTTACGATTGTTTTTCCAGTTCTGTGAAGAATGATGATGGTATTTTGATGGGAATTGCATTTTATTTGTAGGTTGATTTTGGCAGTATGGTCATTTTCACAATATTGATTCTACTCATCCATGAGAATGGGATGTGTTTTTGTTTGTTTGTGTCATCTATGATTTCTTTCAGCAGTGGTTTGTAGTTTTCATCGTAAAGATCTTTCAACTCCTTGTTTGTTTTTTGCAGCTGTTGCAAAATGGATTGAGTTCATGATTTGATACTCAGCTTGGTCACTGTTGGTGTAAAGCAGTGCTACTGATTCACGTACGTTGATTTTGTATCTTGAGACTTTACTGAATTTATCAGATATAGGAGCTTTTTGAACGAAACTTTAGAGTTTTCTAGGTATACAATCATATCATTGGTGATTAGCGACAGTTTCATTTCCTCTTTTCAAATTTGGATGCCCTTTGTTTCTTTCTCTTGTTTGATTGCGCTGCCTATGACTTCCAGTACTAGGTTCAATAGAAGTGGTTAAAGTGTGCATCCTTGTCTTGTTCCAGTTCTCAGGGGAAATGCTTTCAACTTTTCCTGATTCAATATGATGTTGGTTTGTCATATATGTCTTTTATTACTTTGAGATAAGTTTCTACTATGTCTATTTGGTTGAGGTTTTTTATTATAAAGGGATATTAAATTTTATCAAATGCTTTTTCTGCATCTATTGAGATAATCATGTGGTTTTTGTTTTTAATTCTCTTTATGTGACATATCACATTTATTGTCATGTATATATTAAGCCATCCCTGCATCCCTGGTATAAAACCCACTTGATCATGGTGTATTATATTTTTGATATTCTGTTGGATTTGGTTAGCTAATATTTTGTTGGGAATTTTTGCATCTATGTCCATCAGGGATATTGGTCTGTAATTTTTGTTGTTGTTATGTGCTTTCATGGTTTTGGTATTAGGGTGATACTAGATTCATATAAAAATTTAGGGAGGATTCCCTCTTTATCTTTTGGAATCGTTTATCTTTTGGAATCATTTCAGTAGGAATGTTACCAATTCTTCTTTGAGAATTTGAAAAGAAGAATTCAAAGAATTCTTCTTGAATGTCTGATAGAATTCATCTGTGAATCCATCTAGTTCTGGACTTTTTGTGGGCATTTTTTATTATTATTACTGATTCAATCTCGCTGCTTGTTATTGGTCTGCTTAGTGTCTCTAGTTCTTCCTGATTTAATCTAGGAGCCTGTATATTTTCAGGAATTTACCCATCTCCTCTAGATTTTTTAGTTTGTGTGCATAAAGGTGTTCACAGTAGCCTTGAATGATCTTTGGAATTTCTATGGTGTTGGTTTTAAAATCTCCAGTTTCATTTTTAATTGAGCTCATTTGGATCATCTGTCTTCTTTTCTTGGTTAATCTCACTAATGGTCAATGAATTTTGTTTATCTTTTCAAAGAATCAGCTTTTTGTTTCATTTATCTTTTGTATTTTTTTTGTTTCAATTTCATTTATTTTTGCTCTGATCTTTGTGATTTCTTTTCTTATGCTGGGTTTGGATTTAGTTTGTTCTGTTTCTCTGGTTCCTTAAGGTGTGACATTAGGTTGTCTAAGCTGTACTCTTTCAGACTTTTTGATGTAGTCATTTAATGCTATGAACTAGGAAATGAGTATTCTTATGTACAATGGCAGAGGGATGCTGAGAGGGATCTGAATGCACAGACCTTGCCAAGTTTCCCTCAGCTTAATACTCTTAGCTCATACCCATTTTGTCTGTGACTTTCCACTCTTCATCAAGCCTAGCATAAAAGCACTCAAGTTTAATCATTTCTTCATTTCCTTATGAAGACTCCTGTGTCATATTAACCTACATTAGATGCATTTATATGCTTTTCTCTTGTTAATATGTCTTTTTTTTTTTACAGAGGCCTCTGCCAAGAACTTAGAAGGGCAGACAGAAAACACATTTTTCCTCTCCTATATACACTTTTGCTTCTGGGAAACACCAATAGTACTAGCATTAAATTACACAGTCTAATTTTGTATTTTTATTAACAAGTTTCAATTGATCAAGTGTGAACAAGTGTTTTGAAGTTTTTTAAAAAAAACATTGAATCACTTTTCTTATAATTTGCTCGTTAATTCAACAGACATTTATTGATCATTTACTAGATTCCAGGCAAGGTGATAGATTCAGAGAATACAATGATAAGCAAGATCTGACTGGACTCATTTTATGGAGCATACAATCAAAGGGAGAAGACAGATAATCAGATGATAACACAAGTAAATATAAAACTGAAGTCAGAGCCGTTAAGATGTTTATGCCAGATTACACTAAGGAGATATGTCCATTATCCCTTATCAGTTTTTCTTAATGAGGAAAATAAATATACATAGACAACTAATGTAGTATTTAAAGATTCATAAAACTTATTTCCATGATGGCAGATGCAGCCTTCCTTTGCATTCCACCTGTATCCTTATGTAAATAATGCTATAAGCAACTTTTGCATTTTAGTTAAACTGACCTTCATGAATTCAGAGAACAATAACAGCAATCCCAATTTTACAGACAGATGCATAAAACCTTTGCATTGAAACACTGAGCTTGCTTCAAATATAAATACCAATTATTTACTTATCTATCATGCATGAATTAACTATGGATTTGATTCTTTGGTATTTGTTCTTAAATTTAGATCACTTAGATTAAAATTAGAATTATTTTATGAATAGTTTTAAGCCTTATGGCAAAGAAGTATCTTTCTCAGGAAAGTTTATACTGTGTATGCAACTTTTGCAAGAACGTCAATGAAACTGACTCACTGAGGCAAAACATGCACATCAAAATCCCCTGAGCCAGTGACAAAGTAGACAGGTGTGCAGAAACTACTGAATTATAAATGTTATGGTTCAATTCTTAAGCTACTGACCAAAAAGAGAAGGCTAATATAATGGCTAACGATGGCTGGGCTATAATAGCTACTGATTACAGGAAGGACATTTCCTTGCAGGGGAAAAAATCATTTGATAGCTCTCTTTATTATTTTAGTACTTGCAGTATTATCATAGGTGTATCTATAAAATAAAGGAACGCCTGCATGATTCTGCATGTTGGTAAGAGGAAGATTTTATAATTCTTAATTTCTCTGACAAATTTGATGAATGCCATCAAAAGTTTTCCTTTCCCTGGTGAACGCTGTCTTGAAGAACCCATGAAACGTCAGCATTCTAGGCCATTAACTCTCCTTCTCTTTCTTATCAACTACCACAAAACACGATGTCTTAATTCACTCATGCATACACATCCAATAAGTCTCTTTAATGGTAATGAAAGTTCAATATATGAATCATAAACATAATTTAAGAGACATAATTTGAAGCAGTTTTTAAATATGGTCTGGGACATTTTTTGGAAACATAAGCCTAGAATTATATTCAGATATTTGTTCAACTAGAAAATATTGCTGATGCATATTTCTTGCCAACCTTCCCTCTGCTTTAAAGATGATGAAGTAGGTTGCCTTTTAAATTGTTGGAGGTTTAGCTGGCTGTTTGTGATGCCACAGAAACACTTTTCATTTCTCCTCAGTTAATGCAGATCACTGGCCAAATTTCAACATTGCTATTATCTTTAATTTTTGCAACTATATCCCAACACATAATCAAATAAATTTCTCTTTCTGCTGAGTTTTTAAAGGAGATTTAAAACCTGAGACATTTGTAACACAATATCAAAATAGAAACTAAAAAGCATATAGGTAATATTATAGGTGCCCATACCTATAATTCACCTCCTAGTGCATTCTGAAAACTAAACATTTGTTTAATGATCTCAACAAATTATCTAAAAAATAATTTAATATATAAATTTAAGACTATGTGGACACTCCACAATTACACTGAATAGAACCAAAACATACATTTTGGAACCACCTTTCTTTAAAAACAATCTAAATTTTTAAGATACATTTTTTTTGAAAGTTCGAGAAAAAATGCTTAGTCGTTAAAAACTTGAAATGGTTGTAAAGACATAAATATATTAACAAATAGTTTATGATATTTACAAATGAGTTGGATTTTTTATAAACTAAATCTCTGTGAAAAGACATCACAAAATTGTAATACCTTAAACGTATTTTTAAATCACCATTACACTAATGATAGTATTGCAATAGGATTTCTCAGATTATTTTTCAGAGATTTTTGTTGTTGTTGTTCAAAGACTAACAGTCTCTTGTCAGACAGAATCAGGAAATGTTTACAGCAAACCAATACTATCACTAGAGGAGACTGAAAATTTTAAGAACATACAGAGAAAGTGACAGATTCCTTGAGGAAGTCTGGGATATCAAGTGTCTTTATACAAACTGTACAAGACGTGACATGGGGCTGACAAGAAATAAAAGGTTTAATAATCCATGGCATTATTGGAAATCAGAGGTGATAACTGTATAAAGACTTGCTGATAATCAATACTTACCTTTTAACTCAAAACTCTATTAATTAACAAATTGTACTGGTAAGTGTGTAAGTTTCAGGCATTTCTTAACCCATGAGCTAATTTTTTTTTTTTCAGAACCTTAGGGATATAGTAGAAAAGTAAGATTCACTAAGATTTTTTGACTGGACTCTCTGTTGCCTCTTACCCCAATTCAATACATGAGCACACTCACACCCATCCCCAGTCTCTCTCCCCGTTTTTAATACTAATTAGGAGGCTTGGGAGTTAAATTTCTATTGATGGCCACAGGAGATCTTCCAGCAAGAGATCTGTATATGATAAAGAGAGCTTATCTAGGAGCTCCATACTGTATTCAAGTTACTGTATTTCCTGAGACTAGAAATCAGGAAATATTCTGAGGATTGGTAATATTAGAACTTGAACCAAAAGACAAACTTGCATCACTAAATTTTATTTTTCCTTTGGTTATATTCTTTATTTATTGAGCCACAATGACAAGGGCTCAATTGAATATACTGTCCAAAATAAGTGTCATATATGAGCCAACTAAAAAGAATTAGCTAGAAGATTTTGTAATGATTAGTCAATAATAATAACTAGGAAAAAAATAATGGCAGTGATAACCTCAGAGCTGTAACCAAAAAGCAAGATACTTAACTGTTACAAGCAGTGTTTTCTTATTCATAATTGCACATTACAGAACACTTTTCTTCTAAAGATTTCAGAGTGATTTATGATTTAAGAATAATGCCAGGCATCATGCCAATTTTAATTTGAAGGGCAGAGGGAAGAGAGAAAGAATACTTCAGAAATTACCTTGTTCTCTAAAGGCATTTCTGTCACTTTTGCTTCTTTTTAAGGGAAACACCCCTGGATCTCTTCAGAAATCAAAACACAGACTAAAAATAGAACATTCTAAAAATGTGTGCCAGATGTATCATATCTAGGGCTTTTCTCACCCCAGGGTATTTGCCAACTCCCACTTGACACTTCCCAAATATTTTTAGCACTTCAAAGTCTCTTACTTATTGCTTGCACAGCTGGTAGCTAAAAATACTTAAAACTGTATAATGCTACTTTGTAAGTCAGAGTTTGTTCTTCCAAGTGTCATTTATTCAGAATAAGTTTTCCTAATTAGAGCTCAGGTGGAAGCAAGAGAAACACACAGGGTCAAGGATACAAGCAGTTCTCTATACATGGCTCAGAGTGGAAAAGGGGAGGATAAGAGGTCCTGCTCTAAAGAGAAATAAAGTCAGGAGTAGATTATTTTAGGACAGACAACTGATTCTGTAAATCTAAAGGACCGTACCAAAGGCTAACAGTATTCTACAAGAAAGAAGAGGTTGATTTGACCAGCTTCTGGAAGACTGGTCAACAAAATGTTAAGGAGGCTGTCTGTAGCAGCCAGAGTAGACCAAGAAACTTAGAGATATACAAATGGGCAATGACTCATGCTGATGAGGTTTGGTAGGAGATATTGGGGATAGACTCATGGATAAACTGGGGTTCAGGGACAGAAAATGCAGGCTCCTAGAAGGCTGGTCCACATATTAATTCAGTTATAAGAAGAATTAAACATGCATGGCTAAAAAAAACCCATAAGTGCATGTTAATTTAAGGACAAGGTAGGAATACAGTTTATATAATGGTAGGTGAGAAGATAATGAGGATATAACTGTGAAATCATTAAGGGTACAAAAGTTAGAGAAATAAGGGTGGCTGAAAGAGAAGTGTTGATCACTTGGGGAAGGGGCTAGAAACCAATTATTGGAAACTGTAACACCTAGATCAAAGAGAGAACAAGACAGAGAGAGAGAGAGAGCAAGAGAGAAAGAAATATTCTGCAGAATCAATGTCAATGAACTTGAGTCCTATGACAATACTTGTCTTAAGGACAGGGATAAGGCAATTTTCAGGCTGCTTATAAGATGAGTAACGTATAGGGTCTAGGATCCAAGCAGTTCTCTATGCATGCTCAAATTACAACTCAGACTGAGCATGGTGTCTCAGGCCTTCAATAAGTGATGTTTCTCTTCATGTGTTTGAACGTATTAGATAAAAATGCCTCTCAGATCAAACCACAATATTGTTTGCTATTTCAAGTGTCAGTAGTTTGTGCTTTTACTAGAATGAGACTGTTTTTTTCAGAAATGTATCTGATTATCTGAAGCACTTTTGAAAAACATCTTCATTTATATGTCTAATTTAATCAGAGTAGTTAACAGTATTTTATTCTAAAACGCCACTCTTCCAATGCTTTCAATAGGGCCACTTTGAAAGTCTCCTCTGTGACTTACCATATACAGCTTATAGATGCTAAAAAACATGTCTGTTAATTTTGGCACTGCTTTCATAATCAAGGCACACTTGGGAATACAGGAACATTTCCAACAACACCATGAAGGGCACTTCTTTTCACTAAGTCCCCAAAATGTATGCGCTGCCACTCACTTTTTAATTCTTTTGAGGAGCCCTGCACTTGTACAACAAACTACAGAACAGCTTTCCCCCCGCTCCCCACCACCCGGCAGACATCTAAGTGTGGTCTATAATTTATTTTAAAATGAGAAAAAAAAATTTAGCAAAAAATAAAAAGTCTACACAATTGCTAGTTGCTGTTATCTTACATTGGCTGTAAGGGTAATTCGGAAGCTGGACTTAGGAAAATCACCTAGCAGCTGGCATCATGTATGTTTCAATGTTGGGTATGGGGAAAGATGGATTAGGAAACACTAGCTAAGAAAATTGGGATATGATTTTACTCCCCTCCCACTTCCATATGGGGCTTTGCATATCAGGTAGACAGTTCCTTTTAATTAATTAATTTATGTATTTACTTACTTATTTTGAGATGGAGTCTCACTCTGTCACCCAGGCTGGAGTGCTATGGCGTGATCTCGGCTCAGTGTAACCTCCTCCGCCTCCCGGGTTCAAGTAATTCTCCCACCTCAGCCCACCTCAGCCTCCTGAGTAACTGGGACTACAGGCATGCACCACTACGCCCGGCTATTTTTTTTTTTTTTGTATTTTTAATAGACATGGGGTTTCGCCATGTTGACCAGGCTGCTCTTGAACTCCTGACCTCAAGTGATCCGCCTGCCTCAGCCTCCCAAAGTGCTAGGATTACAGGCATGAGCCACCACACCCGGCCTCCTTTGATTTTAAATAAAAGAACAGAACAGAATTAAACATGTCTGCCTAGGATTTCCCAGATCTTCGTGACTAAAATCACAGATGAATTCTACCTTTTTCCGTAAGATGTGCCTGCATTAAAAGGTTTATCAGATGCTTCAGCTTAACATCCAGAATGCAGTAATGAATTCTAAATTGTCACATATTTCCATAGTCACAGTATTTCCAATCTGCTGCCTTCCTTGATGACTTGGTCTAGAACAAGATTTCTGTTTTACATTTTTGACCTAGAAAATCCATTTCTTTCTAGTACCTGACTCCAGTCTATGGGCAGGTCTCCCAACATCCTGGCTAGATTTTCTTCCCCAAGCCTTCTACTTTATTCTCCTGCATAGGAAGCATGTCACAATTCTGAAGATCACCTAGCATCATAACTTTGTCACTGTCTCTAATTTTAGACTTTCCTACTTTCAGAGCTTCCTCTTCTGCCATGCTCTCCTTTGCCTGCTAGATCAGAATCTTTGCCATTGACACTGGACTGTTTTTAGCTAACCTGCACCATCCTTTCTACTCTCCGTGTTTAATGGCACACCTGCTCCTACAAAGCCGGCTGCTGCAGCTAGATAGAATTCCTCAGCTTCTTGGAGAAGGGCATCAGCAATGACTTTTTTCTCTTTTCTATTATCATCGACTTTTTAATATCCTAGTATTCTTCATATTCAAGCTGTCAACAGGTTTATCTTCTCCCAAGGCCTCTCTCCATGGCTTGCAGATGACCACTTTCTCTGTGTCCTCATGTGGTCTTTCCACCGCACACATGCATCTTTAGTGTCCCTTTCTGTAAACCCAAATTTTCTATTTTTATAAGTACACTAATCAGGTTAAATTAGAACCCACCCTAATGGCCTCATGTTAATGTAGTCGCCTATTTAGAGATCTTATCTTCAAAATGGTTACTTTTTGAAGTACTGGGGTTAGGTCTTTGACATATGAATTTGGGGGAACAAGATTCTGCCTACAACAGGTAGGAAGCAGCAGTCGCCTCGGCAGTGGCACAGGGCCTGAGATTGGAGTGTGTAAGTGTTAAGAGTAAGAGATGTGTAAATGGTGATGGCCTCAGAGGACAGTGAGTGGGGTAATTATGCTCAGCTCTAAGATCTAATTATTGCTAAAAACTTTACAATGTGAGACTAAGGACTAGTAAATAATGAAGAGTCCACTGATAGGTATTTGAGAATACTGAGTAGTGCCTATATTACTACAAACAAAGATTTGGAAAGGGAAATGCCCTAACTAAAAGTACAGACATAATGCAGTCCTAGGCCAGAAGTTTTAATACAAGTTATTTGAGAGATTTCAGTGATTTTTAGATTTTTAAAAATTGGGATATCATCAATAAAAACAAAAAACAAATTATTTATTCATCAAATCTAAATATGTATTTACTGTGTACTAGGCAGTGTTTTAAATGTTGGGTGTGCGGGGGCACAAAGTAAACAAAATAGACACTCCTGTTGTCATGGAGATTGTATAACATAAGTGATAGCACACAGGAGATACATAATACACAGTAATGAGAAATACTACTTCTATGAGTAAAAATAACACCAAATGAGGAGAGAGAGTTACAACAGTGTTATTTTAGTCTTGAATGAAATGAGTGAGCCATGTAAATTTCTTGTGGAAGAGCTTTCCCAGGTTGAGGACTTAATACAAAGGCTTGTCTTGTTTGACAGTTAAGTCAGGAAATCAGAGTAGCTGGAAGTAAATGCAGGGGGTATAGAGGTAAAGGTATGATGTAGGAGAGGTAGCTAGTCCCCTACCACAAAGGCTTATAGGGAAAAATATTTGTCACACACTTGAGATACATGATTAATGTCTCATAAAAGAACATCTATACATTGATAAGAAAAGTATAAACTAAAGTATAAGAACAGGAAAATCAGACACAGGGAAACCTAATATGTCAAAGAAAGCAAAAACACATGCTCAAGGTATCATGCAGACAAAGAATTGCAAATATAAATAATAATTAGATATGATAGATTTTTTAACCAATCAGATTAGTCAAAAAGAAAAATGAAAATAAAATAAAATCATTAACAGCATTTAGAATGGCAAGAACATACATAAATTGTAAATCTCACATATGACTGGTGGGGATGTAAATTACTACAGCCATTTATGAAGGTAATACAGTAATATTTTTAAAAAACACATACATCCTCTGACCCAGAAACTCCATTCTCGGAACTCTATCCTGGAGAAAAAGGTGTGCCAGTTGGAAATGTGTTTATTGAAGCATATTTATAGCAGCAAAGCCAAAACAAATCTAAAAACAACACAAATTGGTATCACTAGAATGATCACACAAATTATATTACATTCAATTTATGAAATGCTATGTGGCTGCTTAAAATAATATTTTAATTATTTCTATTGACCTGTAGGGATATCATGGTACCTTAAAAACAGAAAGCAAACTTATCTACTATGACCTTATTTTTGTAAAATAAACTTAAAGTCACTTCTATTTTATATATGTCTATACATATTTCTATGTTTATTAGCATAGAATAAGGTGTAATAAGATGTATATCAAGTTGATAATACCTATTACCTCAGGAAAAATGAGAAAGATGACAGAATTAATCATTATTACTTTTAACTAAAAGAAAAACACATTTGAGAGACATTTGCACTAAATCATATCATTTCAGAGATTTCAGAAGGCAAACATTGTCAACCATATTTTTGTCTCTACAGCATCATATAACTAGGGTGAACATTTCAATGAATGGTCCATTTTGAACAAGTTGAATCAGTTACTTTGTCTTTGATAAACACAGTCTTCATTATATAAAATTTTAATTGGATGACAAACATTATAGACTTATTTTCCATTTATGTAGAGAACAAAAAAATTAGAAGACAATTGTCCAGAAGTGACCTGAATTTAATTTTTAAGTGAAACTCATCAATAAGCAGATTTTAACAAGGAGAATGACTTAATGGCATCTTGGTCCACTGATGAGAAATCATTATCAGAGAGTTCTATGGCAGATACCCCCAAAGCAACGCTACAGAGGAGCTCTTATGTACAATTAAGTTCAGTAAGGAACACTCACTCTCTCTCATTTCCCTTTATGCTGTGAGTCAGCTCACGTCACACACAATGCCATACCAGAAAGCCTGCAACCATCTTATCTTTGCTTCCAGATGCCAGTAATGAAATTCTAATATTCTATACCTCATAATTAAATAAGAATATTAAATGAGGAGAGACTGGAAAAATATGGAATATATAGGGCTTCTCTATGAGTTATTTTGTCTTCAATAATTACTTAATTAGCAGAATTGGATGTAATTTAAAATTACAGTTTTATTTCCTTCATTGATACTCAAATATATTTTTCCAATTTTAGAGATGTAAGAGGAATAACTTGCATCTGTCTGATTTATTGAAAGGCTATATATTGAAATCATTATACTAAAAAAATGAAGTCATAATTGAAAAAAATGCCTAAATGCAGCATCTCATGTTGGCCTTTTTAATTAATTTCATAAATTACTATTATGAAAATCAAAATTACATAATAGATTGATTGCTGTCACTTTGGTAAATAGCACATTACACATTCCCTACAGACTATGTGATAAATTTTTCTGTGAGGCTAATTAGAAAAAGTGTGTGTGTATATATATATATATATGTATCTGTAATTAGCTTTTAGTTACAATTAAAATAAGTCCCATTTTGTATAAGGGTTGACAAGAATTAGCTTTAGTACATAAATATCCTTTAATACATAAATGTCTATACATATGAATTATAGAGACAACTTTCATTAAAGTAATTTTAAGAATGCAACAGTTTAGTAAAAATCTAATTCGTGAAAAGTAAAAATTCAAATGTAAACTTTAGTTCGATATGTGAGTTCTGGTGACCACAAAATAAATTTAAAGGGACAGAGGATGTCTTTTAGTTGAAATCTCATAAAAAGGCATATTTTTAAATTATTACATCAAATTCAGAAATATGACAGTTCCCAGCAAAACTGCTGATAACTTTTTCCAGTAGTAAAAGCTAATAGCGATAAAATGAGTAACAAATGCACATCTCATGCTTTACTTTGCATATTAACTTTAACAAAATATAGACAGTAACAGAATGGGACTAATAGGTTGAGAAAATTCTGAATCTGAAAATTCTGAACAGAATCAAATTCTGTTGATCCTGAAGTTGTGCCATAATCTTGAGTCATTTCTTTCTCCCTACCGACTGTTCCCACAAAGTGCCATCTAAGCATGTATTCTGAAATAAAGTTAGAAGAATCAATTTTAAATAAAATCTCTTTTCTTTTACAATATTTTACATTTTCAAACTTTAAATTCTTCTTTAGTGAGGCACAGCTAGTTATATATCAGTAGAAATTAACCCCAATCAATTTTTTAAATGTTGATACAATTAAAATAGAGATTTATCTTCAAATTAGATCCTGACATCTTGCTATACCATGTTTATTCCTAAACATATACATTTTTCCCTGGGAAAGAAAGACTTTGGAAGCTAGTCTATGATCTATTTTTCTACCTATTACTGGGGACACTAATGAGAATGAAAGAAAGCAGGTTAACCTAGTCTCACCCTCTAGTAAACATGCTAGTAATCATTCTCACGGGAAGCAAATGAATTAAGAATCCTAATGTATATAAATGTTTTATTAGGTGGTCCATGGTTTAGGATTTCTGGATTTCTTCTAGGAAACAAATCTAGGGTCTATACATTTGTGGAATATGGTTCCCTATAAATGTCACATAAGCTATGTAATTATTTGTACATACAATAGAAATGTTTTATAATTTAAAATACTCCCTTTGGGTGAGGTAACTCACTTCTCAGAGGAACCTCTTCTACTACTCTGGGCCAAAAATGTGAATTTGATGAAAGGACGGACCTCGGGAGCTCCTTTTGGAGTCCCAGGTCCCTCCTATTCACCTGTGTCTCTCAAGTGCTTATATGTTTGAAATTATTAGTAAAACTTGATACTTCACCATCCAGTTTTTTGTCTTAACTCACTCCTCTCCTTCCACCAACTTTGCATTCTCCCAACTCGCTCTCCTACTTTATCCATCTACCAGTCTCAAGTCCTATTTTTTCACAATTCCACCATCCTTCCACCTCACACTCACCCTTCTCTGAAATAACATAATTTTAAGATTATTGTGCTAAAAAGAATCTTGGAAATAATCTAAATTAGTGCATTCGTTTTATCAGCAAGGATACTGATTTTTAGAAAAATTACATGAGCTACAATCATGATATCTAGTTCAGATCTTTTCCATGATATCACAACTCTTGCTATCCATACCACTAACAATACATTGATAATTTATTCTCTGTTGACATGGGTTGCACGCAAATACTTACATAACTCATGACTTTAGGTTATAAAGTCTCTGCCGATAGGGATGATATCTAATTTTTATTTTAATTATTTTTAATTACATATTTGCATTGAAATGCTGAGTAAATATATGCATGGATGAATTAATTAATATCTGTATCTATAAAATGAGTTTTTTTACTAGATAATGTTCTATATATTTAAATCATCAAAATCTAGTGATTTATTTCAAATTTCAATTTTCTAGTATTTTCCATTCCATCCTCTTTGATTCCATGCCACACCCCTTCTGCTAAGTAGATTCAGATTCAGTAGGTTGGTAATGAAGCCTGGAACTCTTTTTTTAATATAATACGGGATAATGACCCAGGATATGGTGATGATAAACTAAGTTTAAGAGAAAATGAATTAGATTGTTCAATAAGCTGCTTTCTAAATCCAAATTTGAAATTTGTCTAATACATTATGGAAGAAATTATTCACAAATATAGGAGTTTATTCTACTTTACATGTATTTGTACAATGCATTTTACTCATAAGGATATCCAGGTAAATTAGTATAAAATCACCAAGTAAATGTTAGTAGTAATGTTGCTAGGAGTAACATGGTCTCTAATGTGATTCCAGTCATGCAAAATTAATACTGTACTATAAGCCAGGAGTTAATTTACTTTGAATAACAACACAATTGCATAGATGATAATCTCTAAATTATCAGGCCTTTATGAAGGAGAGTTCTGATTTATGATAATTCTTTAAAATAGTTCTACATTTTAAAGTTTTGTTTTGTTTTGCTTTTTTAACCTTGTGCATCAAATTCCAGGACATGGGGTGGTTGTATTTTAGTGATGAGAAGTAATGTTATACTTTACTGTACCTG
This sequence comes from Homo sapiens, assembly GCF_000001405.40. Taxonomy (NCBI): domain Eukaryota; kingdom Metazoa; phylum Chordata; class Mammalia; order Primates; family Hominidae; genus Homo; species Homo sapiens. Next base: position 88,920,035 of record NC_000007.14, on the reverse strand, counting down.
AATTGTATTTAGCCAAAGTTCCTCTTTGTACATCTGTCAAGCCTCCCTCGTAATATGCAGGCTCAGAGCTCTTGGATGTTTTCTCTTTTGAACTGCTCTGAAGGATAGACCTTCACCTCTGGTGGCTTCTGTACTTAACACATGTCTGAGTACAAATTCAACTACTTTTCTTCTCTACTGAACTGTGTAATGATTAGGATATAAGAGGTCATGACTGACATTTAGAATCAGGCCTGTCTCAGAACTTACGCTGTTAATCAGAATTATTACAGTAGGGAAATCTGTTACTTTTGCAGTTTAAGAAATGCTACGATAACAATGTGCCTGGATCATAGATTCTGAGTCAGCCTAAGACAGTCCTACGTGACCACAGGAAACACTGTACTAAAACCACTTTAATCAGTTTGCAAATGAGGAATCACAGAAATGAAAATATACTTGTTAGCCAAAATAACAAGTCAAAAAATATCTCATTCTCCTGACATGTATAGGCTTAAAATCATTCTAATCTTTGTTTTAATAGAGAGTGCTTCCTCTAGAAGAGACCAAATGGATGTTAAAGTGTCTTGCTTTAAAAAGACTGTCCCTCTCAATGTATAGGCTCCTTTATCATCGTGCCTTTATTTGAGAATACAACATCCTTTTCTGGTTAACAATTGAACCTAACTTCCATTTTCTCATGAATCATTAAAACTTCTTTTCCTATTTATTCCAATGAATGAATCAGTTTCATATTACCCATCAATTCAATCACAAATATTTTAAGATGTTTTATTTTCACTACACTTCTTTGTGAGTAAGTATGGCTTAAGGCATCATCAATGGTTTACATGAATAAGCTTCAGCTCTATCCAAGACACCCCAAGTAGGGAAGAAAGGCATCTAGAAATATGGTTTATAATGATGCCTCCTTGGTTATATCTAAACATATAGCTTTAATGTGAAATGTAACATATCCAGACATAATAAAATATATGATTGAGATTTGAAAACTGAGCAGTATAAACACTCCTTCCATAAAAAAAAATTAAGTAACTTGATTTTCATGCCCCAAGTAAAATGAAAATTGTCCATCATCCTTTTTTCTTGTCTTTTGCTGATGAAGGACACATATTCCTTTGATGTGTTTCAATTGCTCCTCACTCTGTATGTAAGAAATATAGTCAGAGGATTTATCACAAACATATGTGTATACATCCAAGCTCACAGGGAACTGCTGAGTCATTTTATTATAGAATCAGGAAGAATCTATCGTCCCCCTCACCCCCCAATCCCACTCTTAGGCCTTGGACACCGATGCCAGGGAGTATTTAACTGAAATAAAAATTCATCTTGGTTTTCCAATATGTGTAAAACAAGTCTAAGTTGCATTCTGAAAACTGCTATATAACAGTCAAAAATTGTACCATTATTTACATTACTTTTGGCTATGTAGAGACATGAGTGACAACACACAATTCATTTTCCATTATGAGTGTTTAAATCTTATGTACAACTTTATTGTGATGTAAACATTTTCTACAAATGTTTAAAATTAAAGTTAAATTCGAGGGAAACAAGACACTCTCAACAGATAGAGCAATAACTCATGCGAAAATCATAAAATTTAATGTAACAGATGTTCCTTGAACCAGCCGGCAATGCTCCTGAATTTTGACTTGACAGTAAGAGATCTAAAGTTCCCTAATTATAACTTAACTGAACCAAAAAATTACAAACACAATAGTGTATATAATTCAAATAGTGCCAATAATTCTAACGCATTGCATATCTTAAAGAGCACATGCCAACGGATTATACTTATTTGAAAGTATTTATTGAACCATGAATACTAGATCTAAGGCTCACTGTTTATCTAGTCCTTTTGGTACCACATTGGCACTGCTGCTGAAGGTTTAGCTTGCTGAGTTTCAGATTCTCTAAATGAAGAGAAATTGCATTATCTTTCCATGAGAGATTATTCTCTTTTATTACTCAAGTTTCATTACCAAGGTAGTTTTTGCTAATAATAATGCCCACATATTTCTCATATTATTTTTATTATTTCTGGATAAATTTCAAATCATTAATTTCTTTCCTTAACTAGTGCTTTCCTCTCTTTCAGATATTGACTAATTTTGAACTGTCTTATTCATTTCCTGATCTATCTGTGTATTCTGAGTAATTCTCATCTTTAAAACTTTTCTGGATTTCCTTCAATTTGCTCACGTTTTTCTTCTACTAAAACAGAATGGAAACAGAGGTGTCAGGGTTTACTGTCACTAGAATATTGTGGCAATGAACAACCCATCCCTCTTTTGTGTATTATAACATCAAAATTTAGTCCCTAGCTCTTACATTTAACCTGGCAATCTTGATGTAATTTGCAAAATTCCCAGAAAAATGTCTTATAATCACTATTTTACTCAGAAAATAGTTGACTGCTATGAGGGCCATATAATGGATGCCTCTCTATTCCAAGAATAGCATCTCAGTCCCCTGATTCCAAAGACATACTTAAAAGAGTAAGCTGTTGAATCACTACTTCCACTTGAGTCAATAGTGTACCAGACCAAAATATTGTACATGACTATAGAAGGTTCATGACAGAAATGTTTAACTGTATTTTCTGTAGAATCACCATATTCTTCATTAGTTTCAACATGTACAACTGCAGCCTTGACAAAAATCTTAACATTTTAACATGTTCCAACCAAACAATGACACTATTACATTCAACATGGTTCAGACCATTTGAATATTATTTTTATTTTTATTTTTAGTTTTTTTTTGAGACAGAGTCTTATCCTGTCCCCCAGGCTGGAGTGCAATGGTGCGATCTCGGCTCACTGCAACCTCCGCCTCCTGGGTTCTAGCAATTCTCCTGCCTCAGCCTTCCAAGTAGCTGGGATTACACACACCTGCCACCACATCCGGCTAATTTTTGTATTTTTAGTAGAGACAGAGTTTCACCATGTTGGTCAGGCTGGTCTCAAACTCCTGACTTCAGGTGATCCACCTGCTTCGGCCTCCCAAAGTGCTAGGATTACAGGCGTGAGCCACCGCACCCAGCCCAATATTAATTTTTTTGAAACACATTATATTACAGCTAATTTTAAAGCTTCTAGACCTGCATATTTCAACACACCATCTTTCATTAAAAACACTAAACAAAGTACTATTAACACTCTTAAGTACATATATAACCTTAAGACAAATGATATTCCTCTCAAAACAATTTTCTTAAATTTCAGATAGATATTGGGGATTTATATTACAATATGTCTTTGAAAATATACAGTATTCCATTTCATAATATAACATCCTAAAGTGTTACTATAGGACTGTACAATATTTCAATGCCATATGACAGAAACAAAAGGCACAGAAAAGTTTGATATAATCTAACTTGTATATATTAAATAAGCATTCTTCTACATTTCTAAATAGCAAAAAAGAAATAATCAGCAACCCATGATGTTTACATCTTATTTTATAGAGTCTAAGTCTTAATTGTCATCAATCATTAATTTTTTAATCAATCTAAGGCTTCTAAGATGAATGGAATCTGCTAAACGGTTCACTAGCAATACAATAGAGTGTGCAATTATGGTCAGTTAGAACCTCAGACATTGTTTTCATTACCAATACCATTATGCCAGATTTTAATATACAAGAATCTCAGAAAATACCTTATAATCATAATTTTATTTAAAAAATAATTTTGTGTTGGTGAGAGTTAATGGTCATCATTCATTCATATTTCCTAGGTGAGTTTACATAAATCTGAGCTCTCCATATGTTCATCCAATATTCAATACAACCCAAATATAAAGAAGGTGGGATCTAGTTCTATTAATTAATTTGGAAAATAAATAATGGAAAATGTAAATTCAGTAGCCTTCTATATTCTTTCTCCTGAAGTCAAAGAGCCTTTGAAACCAACATTGCTCAAGAATTTCTCACAAGAGTTTTCATTTTAAGTGATCAATATTTTTTTTAAGCCCACAGATACATTTTGCTTTCTTTACAGGAAAAATTTAAGGTGATTTATAATCATAAATGTATTCACTCAAAATATACATTATAGGAGCCATTTGAATTATTTTCATTAATATGACTTAACTAAACCTTTTGTAGTATAGGGAACAAATTCTTTCACAACATGTTTAAATACATGATTTTAAATATATTATATCATAGATATTGTTACACTATCCTTATTTTTATGATAAAACTATAATGTCAGCAAATATTTAATTTTTAGTAATGAATCTTAACATTAAATAAATAACTTTGTTCCCATTCTTCCAATTCTTCCCTGTTTCCAATATAACACAATATTTAAATTTTTCCTAGAATATGTTTTCAGGATCATGTGGCTAAGTTCTGTCTATTGAAAATAATTTAGTGTCTATTAACCTACACTTAGAGTACAACTTCTACAAAATCTTTTACATATGTAGTCATTATGAAGCAAAAACTCTGTTTTTGAAAATTAATTCATTAATACATACCTAATATATTTTTTTCCATTAATTTTCATCTATTTATAAAAGTATAAGGCCATTTCAATCATTAAGTTCATCTATTTAATTTGTCCATAATGTGAACTTATTTTTAAGTTTCTGTTTAAGTTGGAATAGAATCTATTGGTAATATTTTGTGAGAGCATTTTATGAGTTAACCCCGTATAGTTTTAATATGTCACTGATTCTGTTTGTGAAAATATGTCCCTTTGGAATTTAGAATTCACAAGCCAACATTATTAATCAGGAAAGGCAAAATCTATTGGCAGGCAGTGTATAGTATAAGTACATGTTATCTGAAAAATGTTTCTATTGTCAGAAAATTGTACTTTTAAAATAAAAATCAGTAATAGAAGAAACTCTCATTAAAGATAAGCAATTATTTTCTCTTAAAATGTGATTGATATCAAAATGGTGCTCAGTTACCTAAAAGTATACACATAATATTTCTAACACAACTCCTGTTTCATCAATCAATAAAAACTACTCATTAAAAAAGGGTGGGAAGAGATAATGTGCTATATTCTACTTAAGTTTTTTAAAAATAGATTCAGTTAAATCTGAACAGCTCAGAAATGAGGTTCCAAATTAGAAACGCCTTAAATTTTAACTTAAAGGATTTTTATTATAACAAGGTAATACTTTGTTCTACTAAATCTTTAGATTCACATTTTCTTTCTCAACACAAATTGCTTAATAAACTCAACAAAGACTTATAAACCAAAATAATAAATATCCTTTCTACATTAAAATGAAATCTGTCAACAATGTCCTTTGAAGTAATTAGCTCCTACATTTAATTTCCAAAATGTACTGTTTCCATTTTTTTTATCAATTATTGTCAGGAGTTTTGATATAACTTAATTGTAAAACATAATTATTGAAACATATACTGTATTAGTGAATTGTGCAAGGAAACCAAAATTGAACATTTTCTGGCCATTATTTGAGAGCAGGATTCTACTATTTACTATGTTAGTGGTTCAGCAGGCAAGGGAGTTGCTAAAATACGCGAGGGAATGATCAGGCACTGCTGGCTAGGGTCAAAAAATTGGTATTCCACTTCAAGTGTTGCTCATTTGTCCTCAGGAAAGAAACCCTCTTCAAGTCACATGTTTTTCATTTTGTAACTAGAGGGAGAGTATTAGCAGGGGCAATCGTGAAAGAAAAAACAAATGAAGGAGCAGGAGAGAGCACGCCAAACATGGACCCTATCGGCAACTTAAAAAAGTCCTATAAAATCCTCTCTGTAAGCCATTTTAGATTACCCTTTACGGGCTAAATTCAAGACAAATTTTCCATGAGAAGATTCATTTCCATTTCCAAACTTCTTTTTCATTTCTCAGTGTTCATTACCTGACGTGCTGAGTTTGAAGGTGAACTGATATAAGGGAATTTGCAAAGGGATAGATAAGCAGAGCATATGTCCACAAACCCACCTATTCTCTAGCAGCCTGGTAGGCACATTCAATAGGAGGCAGAAGGACTTTCTCTCAGACCCCAGACTTCAACTACTATCAATGCTTTTGGTTCAGTTTCCGTTTTTGGAAAAGTCTACAAGTTTCCCATGGCAACTTTGCTCAGTCAGCTCTATTTACAGCCTGCCACTTTAGCAATACTTATAATGTTATTGCCTCTTAGCAATCCTCAGGCATTCACAAAAGTAAAGTTGGGCTTCTTGGAAAACAGGTTATCTTTTGCTATTTTTTGCTAGAAATAATTACCGTTTTGACAGGTAGCTAAATTATTTCATCCGCATATACACTTGTGTCATGTAGAGGACAACACACTGTTTAAGAGTACATATGATGCTTAAAAATACACCAGATTCTGGCCAGTCGTGGTGGCTCATGCCTGTAATCCCAGCACTTTGGGAGGCCGAGGCGGGTGGATCACCTGAGGTCAGGATTTCGAGACCAGCCTGGCCAAGATGGTGAAACCCCATATCTACTAAAAAACAAAAAAATTAACCGGGCCTGGTGACAGGCACCTGTAATCCCAGCTCCTCCAGAGGTTGAGGCAGAAGAATCACTTGAACCCAGGAGGCAGAGGTTGCAGTAAGCCAAGATTGCACCACTGCACTCCAGCTTGGGCAACAAAAGCAAAACTCCATCTCGAAGAAAAAGCATCAGACTCTAACCTCCTTGAGAATATAAAAGATACTGCTTGTTGTGCTATCTCCAGAGAAACTTGCAGAAGTAATGAATTTGAATTTAAGTAATAAGGTTTCCTAAATACACTACATCTGATTTCTCCATAAAAAGATATATAATATGCTTAACTATTTCAATAATTTAATTAGCACATTACATTCCTGTCTTAACTGGTAGGAATCATACAGCAAAGTGAAAATTAAATAAATGAGAATATATGCCATCAAGACATTAAGGTAATCCCACTAGATATCACTCTTTGCCAGTCTGTGAACCCACTTCTTTTGTGTAAATAAAGGAGTAATGCTGGCTTTGTTGACCAGGAAGCTACCTATGTTGACATTTCGAAAAACCTTATCTAATGTTTTGATAACATCGAAAACAATCTAAATGCAAAAGGTTGCTTCTAAAAGAAAATATCTTGTAAATACTACTCTTTCCTTTTCTAGTTTTCTTTAGTTGTTCCATGTAACACTCCTATTAGAATTTTTGATTTATTTAATCAATCACAAATCAATATTAATGCGCACAATATTTGGAATCATTGTTTCAAATACAATTTGCTTTTTAAAAACAAAGTAAAATCCACACTGTAAAGTTATGGAAAAATATTAAAAAATAATTTTGGTTCTCAATATACTTACAAACGTATTGAGAAGATAGGCTATTATGTGAAAATTTGACTAAGAAAAATGAAGAGCCGGATTAGTATATTTGCTTTAAAAACTCACAAAGCTTCATGGAAAACATAAACTTTGGAGATAAATATGCTTTGGCCTTTATCTCACTCTATACACAAAAGTTTACCCAAGACGAACATAGACAAAATGTGAAATTCAAAACCATATAGCTTTCAGAAGAATGCATAAAATATTTGTGAACTTAGCGTCAGCAATGACACTAATTATACAAGAAAGAAATTAATAACTTATACTTCATCTAAATTAAAAAATGTTGCTCACCAACAAACAATGTTAAGAAACCTAAGAATTTAAGAAAATGAATAGGCATGCCATAGATTAGAAAAAATATATTTCCTGTACCTCTCTAATGAAAGATTATATCCAGATTATATAATAAACTCCTAACAGTCAATAATGAAAAGACAAGCAAGCCAATTAAAAATAGCCTAAAGCCTTGTAGAGAAAGTTTACAAAAGACTACAATGAGTAAGAAAGACTAGCAACAACAATTGTTGATGACTATATGGAGCAAAAGGAACTCTCATATATTTCTGATGAGAGTGCAAAATAGTACAATTACTTTGGAAGATTGTTTTTGTGGTTGCTTATACAATTAACACACACCAACCATTTTCTCATTGGAAACATTACAAAGCATTACAAATGTGTGACAGGAAAATGGATAAGCAAATTACTGTATATTTATAGGATGAGATATTACTTGGAAATACACAGGAAAAAAGTTAAAAATATAAGCATGAACTTTAAAAACATGTCACTTAAAAGATACTAGATATACACATATAACATATATATAATGCAATTCCATAAATATAAATAACCAGAAAAACTAATCTTATAACAACAAAATTCAGAAAAGGGACATCAACTAGAAAAGGGCAAAACAGAACTTTCTGAGTGATGAAAATGTTCTAATCTTGATGTGGATGTAGTTATATGGCTGTGTATAATTTATAAAACTCATAGAACTGAACACTTAAGATCTTCATTTTATTTTGTATGTAAAGTATTCCTCAATTAAAAATAACAACAAAACTAAAAGCTTGCATCAATAGAATAAATGATTAATTGCTGAGAGATCCAGAAAGAGATATCGCTCTGTGCTGGTGGTGTAGCCTTACAATATATTAGGTGAAAAGAAGTTTAAGAAATATATAAATTATATAAAAATAATGTTGGTATAAATATAAATACATAAGAATAATATAAATATATATAAATCATATAAATAAGATATAATATTATAACTACTTATATAATGATATATACATTTGTACTGGGCCTTAGAGAATGACTAGAATTTGAATGGTAGAGTGTAGGCAAAAATATTTCTTTCAAGAGGCAAGAGATGTAAGAAACATTCATACACTACAAAGCTTTAAATGTCATTAAAAAAAGCATCATTTTATTGTTGATTAAGGTAAAATCCTACTTAGGGAATGATTCTGAACCTTTCTGCAAATGTCCTTTCGCACTTACATAAATTCCTGTATTTTAGGCTCTTGTGCCCACTTTAACCTCTCGGCCTTCAGATAAACTGTTATCCTAACATTGTTTCACTGTTCTTTTCTTTAATACCAAATCATTCATAAGCTTCTTCAAGACCTGATTGAAAACAACAAATCACATTCTCTAAGTTTTCTCTGATTATTTGACCACCCTCTTATTTCCTAATACAAATGCCAGTTAACCTATCGCCTCTATTCTAAAGTTACTTCAATGATACAATTATTTATTACTCTTAAATTTGAAACTTTTTAGCTCTTATGGCACCTGCATACTCTGGCATGCAGAAAGGCTTGCTGGAAGAATATTGTGAGTTTTACAACTACTGATAACATTACTAGATGTAGAGACATGGCTCTCATTTTGCAGAACATCTTCCCTTACGATTCTTCAATCACGCTTGCATTGGATCTAGTCTCCATAAATATTGAGCAGAAGGCAGGATTATACAACAGTCTGCTTAAGGTAGAGAGCAGATGAAACATTCTCTCACCTAAATGTGGAGAAGGAACATGCAAAGATTCACAGCTTGAGTGTCTTAAATTGTAAAATAGATCCAAGAACAGTTTATCTACATTGAATGAGCATCTACTATTTACCAGCCACTGAATGGGGCCCTCTAGAGAATTAATTTTTCATGTTTTTAAGACATTGTAGGATTATTTGATGGTTAAAATATTTATTAAAATAAATACAACGGTTCATAGAATTAAGCAAAGCAGTTTTTTCTAATCTAATAGACACTTAATTACCTTTCTTAGGGAACTATTAGAAATATGGCATTCCAAGGAAGTTTCTGCTTCACCTTGAAGCAATTTAAATTGGGAGACGTTTGCTTCAGGCTCTCGGAAATACTGAAGACATTATTCAGTTTATCAGTGCTGTCTGAAATTACTCTCAGAAACAGAGAACATTATTAGTGACCTAGTTTTTGTTTGGTATTTTGTGTTTTTTAATTCCCAATGGTGAGAGATAAACCTGATGTTCAGGTTAAGCTTGCTGTGTTCTAAGGGAGCCTAAGGCTGTCTCCACAGTTTACCTGTATGTACCTATTCACTTTTTGCCCTGGTTATGTTTTTAAATCTAATGTGATTGTTTTTATAATAGTTATAATGTATCTCATGATAATATATACATGTTTTATGTTCTAAGTTAGAAGTAAGCAAATATACATTCAAACCATTGTCTATATTCACAACAAATGCATTAAAACTGCATTAAAGAGGCTATTATTTACCAAAAGGCAGCTAATAACAGAAATATGAAATATGTGAGTAAAACTAAATTTGCAGTGGACATAAAGGTAATTAGGACGTTTATGCAGTCTTGCAATATCAAGAAGTCAGGAAGTAAATAGCAATCAAGACAAACTGATTGCTAAGGAAGTAAGTTAAAAAAAAAAACCTGTAAATGAAATTCAAGTGAAGGAACTAACTAGGCTGCATAACAAATATCAATCAAACTAAATTGATTGCTAGGAAATAAGAGCATTAACAAGGCAATCAAGAAAACTCCAAGCCTGTGCGACATAAAATCTCCTGAATTAGAGAAAGTTGAACAAGCAAACTGGTGAACAACTTGAGTTAATAACAAAACATGAGCTAACTCTGGCAGTGGAATATTTACTAGGAAATAAAATGAAGTCTGCTCTGTAATTTTAGGAGAAGAAAAACAAAGAGGAAGATTTTTTTTAAATCACCTATTTAAAGACCTACCCTGCCATCTTCTGCCTTTTCAGTGCTTACTGAAGCAAAATGAAACACACTCTAGCAACACAGCTCTTTCATCCTTACGCATTTCCATCAGATTGAAAAATAATTAGCAATTGGAATATAGGCACCTACAAGTGTCATAGAAACAGTATTCTTCACCTTTGTTAATCTTCTCATGCAGATGAGGAAAAACAGTTTTTCATAAGATGAACATGTTTTAAATTATAATCATCTTCCTAACGGAAAGCAAAAACTACAACTGAAGACCATATAGGGAGGGAACAATTTGGTTTGGGGTTCTGTAACTCTTCTGAGAATACCTGTATTTAATATGCACCAATATCTGCCATAGGCTTACTCATCAATTAGGTTGAATAGTAATTTCTTAAAAATAAAGATTGATTTTTTCCATCTATCTTCAGTAAGTAGTAAGCTTTTTCAGGTCAAGATACTTGCCATAAAAATGTTTTAATTTCTCACATCTGCAGTGGTATATATCTCAATAAATACTCCTGATAGCTACATAATTTTATACTTTATCTTGAACAATATAATCATTTCTTAGAAAAAATAAACTGAAATGTTCAAAGAGAAGCAAACTTGCATCTAATCAAACTGCAAGAGTGGCCAGTAGAAGACATGACAGATTACTAATTTCAAAGCTGGCATTCTCATGACATTATGCTACCTTGAATGAATGATGAATAAATCTTTAAAAATAGTCAGATGACACTTGCAGTGAGCAAAAAATGTTCCCCTTCTTCTAAAACGTCTTCTCTAAAGTCAAATGTGGGTGGGGGTGTTTGAAAGTATTACTAAGTCAGCATTAAAAGAAAAAGTGGTTCAATTTTTTTAAAAAAACACTGGGAAGATTCTCTCAAGTTCTTGCAAATATTCTTTGAAAATGATGCATGAATATGTAAACGAAGGTAGAAGTATTTTTGGTCAGTTTGAAACCCATTCTCAACAACGTTTATTCATAATAAAAGATGTGCTTGTCTAAGTTTAATTTTATTGTTTTAGTCATCTGTGAAAGAAAAGGTACAATATGTGTTACTTTTTCAAATTATATGTACAGGTGTTCATTATTTTTCTGGGAGTAACTATCATTCATTAAAAAAAACAGGATCAAACAAGTAGAAAAACAACCAGAGTATAACACATATACACATTACGTTTCAGCATGCACATATACCCTAAAACTTAAAGTAAAATAAAAAAATTATTTAAAAATATGATCTGTGTAATGTATCTTAAAGATCTCAGAATAATATCACCAATCAACCATCAAATTCAAATGTTTAGAGATCAAGAATATAAGTTTCCTACTAGATTGTAATTACTTTATCGTCTGAGACTACATGTCTAATATATCTTTTTCACCTTCCCAACCCCTCAGAGTGCATTTGGTAAATGTTATTGATTAACTGACTAACTAAGGAATCTCAGCAAGAATGCTTGTTCCCAAGCTTCTAATTCATAACAAAGTTGTTTTTGCATGTAGTCCCAGCCAATTTAGTCAAATAGTCAATACAGTTTTAAAAAATTAAAGTTAAACCAGCTCTCTTACTAAACAACCTGATTTTTCTGACTGAATGAATTAAGTCGGCTAGCATGGATTTATTTAGTAGGTGATTAAAATTAATCTTTTTAGTAAATACAAGTTTGGTAGAAGACAATTGGAAGTTAAAATTCAAACACATGGAATTTGCTTCCATATTTTGTAAAAATGTGGTAATGGCTTAGAACATGATGAAGCCATGCTCCCTCATTTTAAATGTTGCCTCTACCACTTACAAAGTTAAAGGCCCCAAACTTTGGGCTACTTAGTTAGTCCGTGCTTCAGTTTCATCATCTACAAAATGGTCATAGTAATAGTACCTCACTCATAAAATTATCATAAGGGATTAAATTAGTTTAAATTAGATTTAAATTAGTTTAAATGCTATAGCAATGTTAGCTTCTGTTGTTCTCCTTAGTAGCAGTAGAAGCAGTCATGTATTTAATTATACAAAAACTAAATGACTTTTAAAATCACACATCTACAAAATCAAGTCTACATAACAATCAGCTAACAAGATGATGACATAAACAAGTCACATATTAATATTAACTCTGAATTTAAATGGGCAAAACACACCAGTTAAAAAACATAGAGTGAAGAACTGGATAAAAAGACAAGACTCAACCTTGTGCTATCTTCGAGGGACCTATCTCACACATAACAACACCCACAGGCTTCTCTAAACAATTATTATGTTTAAAACTGCATTAAGGAGGCAATTATTTATAAAAAGACAGCTAATAGTAAAAATATGAAATATATGGGTAAAACCAAATTTGTAGTGGACATGAAGTTAAATATCTATCATGCAAATGGAAAACAAAAAAGACCAAGAGTCACTATTCTTATATCAGATAAAACAGACTGTAAGCCTATAACAATTAAGAAGGACAAAGAAAGCCATTATATAATGACAAAGGGTACAATTCAACAAGAAGAATTAATTATCCTAAATATAAATGAACCCAACATCAGAGCACTCAGATTTATAAAATGAATTCTTCTTGACCTATGAAAAGACTTAAACAGCTATACAATAATAGTGGGAAACTTTAACACACCATTAACAGCATTATATACATTGTTGAGGCAGAAAACTAGCAAAGAAACTCTAGACTTAAACTCAACACCTGACCAATTAGAACTAGTAGACACCTATAGAACACTCCACCCAACAACCAGAATATACATTATTTTCATCTGCACATGGAACATATCCTAAGATTGACCACATGCTTGGTAATAAACCAAATCTCAATAAATTCAACAGAATATAATTCATACCAAGCCTACCCTCAGACCATAATACAAAAATAGAAAGCAAAATCAAGAAGATCTCCCAAAACTACATAAACACATGGAAATTAAACAACTTGCTCCTGAATAACTCCTGGGTGAACATTACAATTAAGGCAGAAATTTAAAAATTCTTTGAAATTAATGAAAATAGGGACACAACTTACCAAAATCTCTGGGCAGTGCTAACAGGGAATTTTTAGTGCTAACTGCCTTCATCAAGAAGTTAGAAAGATCTCAAGTTAACAACTGAACTTTGCACCTAAAGGAACTAGAAGAAAAGAACAAACCAATCCCAGGATAAGAAATAACTAAAAGTGGAGAATAACTGAACAAAATTGAGATGTAAAAATTCACACAAAACATCAGTGAAATCAACAGTTCTTCAAAAGAACAAAAACGGTTGATAGACTGTGAGCTAGAGAAACAAAGAAAAAAAAGATCCAAATAAGTACAATCAGAAATGACAAATATTACAACCCATTCTACAGAAATACAAAAGATCTTCAGACTACTACAAACAATTCTATATGCAACAAATCAGAAAATCTAGAGAAAATGGATAAATTCCTGGAAACACACAATCTTCCAGATTTAATCAGGAAGAAATTGAAACCCTGAATAGACCAATACTGAATTCTGAAATTGAATCAGTAATTAAAAAAAAAAACTATCAACCCCAAAAAAAAAAAAAAAAGCCTCAACCCAAATGGATTAACAGCTGAATTCTACTAGATTTACAAAGAGGAACTGCTACGAGTCCCACTGAAACTATTTCAAATTGTCAGGGAGAAGGAGCTTATCCCTAACTCATTCTATGAAGCCAGCATCCAATACCAAAATCTGGCAGAGACACACCAAAAAATGAAAACTTTAGGCCAACATCCCTGATGAACATAGATGCAAAAATACTTATCAAAAAACTAGCAAACTATGGCCAGGTGTGGTGGCTCCTGCCTGTAAGCCCAGCACTTGGGAGGTCAAGGCGGAGAGATCACCTGAGGTCAGCAGTTCAAGGCTAGCCTGGCCAACATGGTGAAACCCCATCTCTACTAAAAATAGAAAAAATTAGCCAGGGATGGTGGCAGATGCCTGTAATCTCAGACATTTGGGAGGTTGAGGCAGGAGAATTGCCTGAACCAGGGAGGCCGAGGTTACAGTGAGCTGAGATCGTGTTACTGCACTCCAGCCTGGGTGACAGAGTGAGACTCCATCTAAAAAAAAAACAAAAAACAAAAAACTAGCATACTGTATTCAACAGCACATCAAAAAGTTAATTCGCCACAATCAAGTAGGCTTTACCTCTGGGATGCAAGGTTGGTTCTACATATGCAAATAAATAACTGTGATTCAGCACATACACAGGATTAAAAGCAAAAACCTTATGATTATCTCAATAGACACAGGAAAAGCATTTGATAAAATCCAACATCCCTTCATGATAAAAACCCTTAACAGGCTAGGTGTCAAAGGAAGATGACTCAAAATAACAAGAGCCATATACAACATACCAAAAGCTAACATTATACTAAACAGGCAAAAGTTGGAAACATTTCCCTTGAGAACTGGAACAAGACAAGGATGCCTACTCTCACCACTCCTATTCAACATAGGACTGCAAGTCCTTGCCAGAGCAGTAAGTTAAGAGAAAGAAATAAAAGGCATCCAAATAGGAAAAGAAGACGTCAAACTATCTCTTTTCACTGATAAAATAATTCTATACATGGAAAACCCTAAAAACTCGCAAAAGACTCCTAGAACTGATACACATCTTTTGTAATGTTCCAGGATACAAAATCAACGTATAAAAATCAGTAGCATTTCTACGTACCAATAATATCCAGGCTGAGAGTTAAATTAAGAACACAATCCCATTTACAATAGCAAAAAGTAAAATAAAATACCTTGAAATACAGCTAACCAAAGAGATGAAAATTCTCTACAAAGGGACTACAAAAGACTGCTGAAAGAAATCAGAGATGACACAAATAAATAAAAAATATTCCATGCTCATGGATTGGAAGAATCAATATAATTAAAATTGCCATACTACCCAAAGCAATTTACAGATTCAATGCCATTTCTATCAAGCTATCAATGTAATTTTTCACAGAATTAGAAAAAAAATTTTTTAATTCATGTGGAACCAAAAAAGGCCTGAATAGCCAAAGCAATCCTAAGCAATAGTATTAAAAGCTGGAAGCATCACACTCTCCAACTTCAAACTATGCTATAAGGCTACAGGAACCAAAACAGCATGGCACTGTTACAAAAATGAACACATAGACCAGTGGAACAGAATATAAAACTCAGAAATAAGTCCACACACCTAAAACTATCTGATCTTTGACAAGGCTGACAAAAATTAGCAATGGGGAAAGGACTCCCTGTTGAATAAATGTTGTTGGGATACCTGACTAGCCAAATGCAGAAGAATGAAACTGGAGCCCTATCTTTTACCACATACAAAAATTAAGTCAAGATGGATTAAAGATTTAAATATAAGACCTCAAACTATAAGAATCCTAGAAGAAAAGCTAAGAAATACCCATCTTGACATCAGCCATGGCAAAGAATTTTTGGCTAAGCCCCAAAAGCAATTGCAACAAAACCAAATATTGACAAGTGGGACCTAGTTAAGCTCTTTTTCTGAGCTTCTGCACAACAATAGAAACTATCAGCAGAGTAAACAGAAAACCTACAGAATGGCAGAAAATATTCACAAACTATGCATCAACAAGGTCTAATATCCAGAGTCCATAAGGAGCTTAAAGCAACAAACAAAAAACCAAATAACTCATTAAAAAAGGGCGAAGGGCATGGACGGATACTTCTCAAAAGAAGACATGCAAGTGGCCAACAGACATGAAAAAATTGTCATCGTCACTAATCATCAGGGAAGTGCAAATCAAAATAACAATGAGATACCATCTCACACTACTCAGAATGGCTATTAATAAAAAGTCAAAAAATAACAGATGCTGGCGAGGCTATGGAGAAAAGGGAATGATTTTACACTGTTGATGGGAATGTAAAGCAGTTCAGCCACTGTGAAAAGCAGTTTTGGAGATTTCTCAAATAACTTCCAACAGAACTACGATTCAACACAGCAATCCCAGTACTGGGTATATACCCAAAGGAAAATAAATTGTTACACCAAAAAGACACATGCATGTGCATATTCATCACAGTTCTATTCACAATCACAAAGATATGGAATCAAGCTAGGTGCCCATCAATGGTGGACTGGATAAAGAAAACGTGGTACAGATACACTATGGAAGAATACTATACAGCCATTAAAAAGAATGAAACCATATGTCCTTTGCAGCAATATGGTTGGAACTGGAGGCCATAATCCCCTAAGACAATTAATGCAGGAACAGAAAAGCAACTACCACATTTTCTCAGTTGTAAGTGGGAGCAACATTGAGCACATGTGGACGTAAAGATGGAATCAATTAACACTGGAGACTATTAGAGGGGGGAGGAAGGGGGAAGGGTGATGGGTTGAAAAACTATCTATTGGGTACTATGCTTATTACTTGTTTGACAGGATCCATACCTTAAACCTCAGCATCATGCAATATATCCATGTAACAAACCTGCACACGTACTCCCATATGTAAAATAAAAGTTGAAATTTTAAAAAATAATAACATAAATAAAATCAAAAACTGGCATTTTACGTTTGAAACAGAAAATTTGCATAGTTTTATTTGTGCTGAAAAATAGCAAATGCCATCTTGGAATTTACTGCATTTGTTTCTTATTTTTACTGAATCTCAAAAATAGATACGTATCCATATTTTAAAATAATGTAGGCACAGTTTTATGCATTTAAATAAACTTTCATTTATAACATAGTGTATTTAAATATATTTACTTTCAGAATTGATTATATTTAAAGTAGAAAGAGTTAGGAAATTACATTTTCTCTTATAAACATATATTTTAAAATCTAAGCTCCTGAAAAAAATTAATCATTATCTCTTTAATGGACTCAACACATTAACTTTTGCTTAACATAAAAATGCCTCTTTTTAATGTATTTATTCAGGAAAGAAAAAATGTTATATACTCACTGATGCTCACTTACTCCAAAGTGAGTTTTGGGCATCCAGAATCAGTAGCCTCTGTTTCCCCAAATAAATTACCAATTTTTCTTTTATTGTGCTTAAATAATTTATTTGTAAAGTGAGCAAATGTACTAGAACGAGAAATGGAAGTAATAGCTCTAGGGTATTAATTTGAATGCTTTGGGAAGTCTCTATAGAGATGCGCTGCTGGAAAAACAGATATGCATAAGACAACTATGAAATGTTTTGGGAAATAATAAAAACTTAGGATTGTATCTTAAAATTGATTCTAATAGTCATGTATCCCACTCTAAAAAATCAAAATGAAAATTTATATACAATGTATGAGGTATGTGGCTTAGTCAAGAAAGTCTTTGTGAGTCCCCCAAACTAAAGAGAAAGTGTATCGGGTTTAGAGCTAAATCAAAAGAATGATGAATGTTGTAATATCTATGCAATTATGACTAAAGTTAGAATATCTAAGTTTTGCATGTATCATTTTTTAAATGATCCCCTGCTTTGATGACTGTGTTCTAATCACATTTTATAAGAGGCTTCCTCTAGAATTGTAATAAGGACATAGGCTCAAAATAAGTTATTTTAGGTTTTAGTATCATACCAAGCCAGCATTAATTGGGATACATGGACAAAGCTTATCAAAAGAAAACATATCTCTAAGTGCTCATTATAATTATTCCAACAATAGTAAATATTATATGTGAATTCAAATTCTAAATCTTTTCAGCTTAACTATGTATCGTGAGGCCAATTTATTCAAGACCCCTAGCTTCTAGCTTCATTTTCTAAAAATTTGTCTTTGGATCAAATCTAACCAAAACCAGTACTCTTTTTTTTCTCTCTTTCTCTCTCTCTCTCTTTCTCTCTCTAATATAACCACTTTAAGATCACATAAATATCTAGATGAGTGATGGCAGAGAAAAAAAATTATCAAGAGAACTGCAGATACCTTCTCTAGTTAAGCCTAAAACCATGTACAAGGATAATGGAATGCAAATAGTAAAGTTGTTTTTACTATTTCTAATTTGCAAGCTTGGTTTATGCTGATAATGGACGTTTCATGGAATAAGAAATAAACACTCATCCTAAGATGTGGTGAATTTTATGGAAACATAATTTAAAAGTCCTTGAAAATTCTCAGTAATTAAATGAGTTGAGAAGATGAATTTTTAATATATGGAATGGAAAATAATTCTTTTAAAGCCTTTAGTTTAGATAACTACATTTCAGACAAGTACAATTAATGTCCTACATGCTCACTTTTATTTTAGACTGAAATGCTAACTTTGAAAGAATATTGAAAAGGGAAAACTGTTAAGTTATAATTTTAATGAATTATACGGAAAATAGCTCACAACACTTTTTTTCTGTTGAATAAAAAAGTCAATTTTCACTGTGATTATACCTTTTATGTACCAAAATTAGTCTGGATAATGGCTGAAAAAGCCACTAATAACTTGAAAAAGCAAATTAAAATAGAGTATATAAATGCTATATTGAAAATAGGAGGTCACTACTTCTAGAAGTATTTATCATTAAATTACTTTTTGAGAATTCTGTATGTACTACGGCTATTTTAAATATAATATTTTACCTTTGTTTGCCTTGAACATAAGCAACAAGCAGAGCAATTCTGTATAATGTTTTTTTTTCCGTGGGTCAATTCAATAACACAACTAATCTTCTTTGCATTGTAATTTATTTCCATTAACTTAATAGGAAAGAAACAAAAATATGATGGCCATCTAAAGTACAAAAGAGATTGCATAAATACTTTTTATATCATTCTATTATAGGAATTATTAGTTTATATTATGAATATTTGTTCAAATATCTGTCTAAACCCACATGGGAGTATACTGCATACTCCTCAATAATAAAGAGATTTTTTTTTCTCTTTTCCCCAATATTGATCACAGTGCCTGACACATACTAGATGCTTGACCAATGTTTTTGGAATGACCAAATTTAATTGAAATTTATTGTTGAAAATTTAATAGATCAAATGGAAAAATACTGTCTATTTGAAATAGTCTTTAATCTCAAACTATTTCTTAAGTTTCTGGCTTATGTAAATCTTTGAATATATTTTGTTCTACATGCTTTTTTAAAGCAAGTAAAATCTAATAGGAATGCAATATCCATAGTTTTATTCATTCCATTTAAATATGTTTTTAAGGGGTCTGAATAGTTCATCATGTGTAACGATTGCCAATTTTTAAAAATCCTAGAATCAAATAAAACAATCTAAAGAAAAATGTGCACTGAACTAACATCTTTGTTCATTCACAATCTTATTGCTGTATCATATGAATTTACAAAATTCTAAATCTGTATACATAAAGTATGCCAGCCAATCTTGTTCTAAAATAAGTATTTTAAATATACATCTTTTTCGTAATCTCAAAATAAATTAGAACTCTCAACCTTCAATGTTAAACACAGCCTTAGAACATGTTTACTGTTTCACTGTACTATTCATAAAATTTGAATTTTGAGAAACACCAATTCACAATACCTTTTGTCAAGTAAAACTCAGTGTTTCATCCTGAACGCATTTTAACCTACATATGAAATCCATATGTTAATTATCTCATAAAATATGTAAACTACCAATGTAGAAAGAAAGGACTTGCCTTCTTTTCCGTCTTAAAAGTAGATTTTTATTACTATATACATACTTTGGAGAAAATGGATTTTAGTACATAGAAGGAGATATGGGTATCTGAGGATGATGGTCCTGGGAGCTAACAGTAGAAAGTTATGTTGTAGCCCCTTTCTAGAGGACCTTGTCTTGAATAAATTGAAGTAAGTTGGAATTGATTCCAGAAGTAATGAGAAGTAAAAAAGGGCTTTTAAACAAAAAAGCAAATAATCCATTATGTTTGTTTCGAGAACTGTTAAAGTAGTGGGTAGACAAAAAAAGGGAGAGTCTGGAGGCAAGATGATTGGCTAGGAGCTGAGGCAATTCTTAAGTGAGAGGTGAGGCAAACTTGAATGAAGAATATGACAGTGAAGAAAGAGATCAGAGCTGGGTGATACAGTGACAAGGTGAAACAGAATGCCTAATAAGGCTCAGTTTTAGAAACCTTGTCACCTATTTATTGTCCATATTTGGAAATGTATGTAACCTTAGAGCAGATTTTTTTTATGGGATTTTGTATAAGGTGACTAGGTAACCACCGTCCCCAGAAAGTTTTGATAGGATCATTTATTTGGCTTATTTTAGCTACTCTTCTTGAATATCTCTTGGTGTGCATAAGAAGTGTAAGAAAAAAAATTGTTGAAGATATCATATATAAAGAATGCGGAATTTCTCTGAATACAACCTTGAACATCTTAGGAATGAAGTGTTGATCTATTTTACACTGATCAAATATCAGAAGCTCTGGCACTGTGGACCAGAATGGAATCTAAAGAAAGGAAAGGGCTCTAAAATGGAACTCACCAAAAATTGGGGATGGGGATGTGTACCTGCATTGTTTCTTAGACTCAGAACTGGAACTTAAGGGTTGGCTCTGATTGGCTCTAGAAGAGACAAGGGTTAAGACTGTGACCATTCAGGACCCACCGCTCTGTCTTTTGTGTGCAGTTCTAGGAAACAATGGCTGAGCATGATGATGTGAACCAGTGAAGCTATCACCCTGAAGCAGGAGCCCAGAGGCACGTGTGACCTGTGTTGGGACTAAACCAGTAATAGCATCACTGCAGAGCAAACAAGCACCAGGCCTCTCTTCAGCACCAACATAAAGGGCAGTGAGGCATCTAGCATTTGAAAGCAAAAGTAAATTGAATCCTCTTGAAGAAAATTATCTTCGACAATATCAAGGGGAAGGTAAAGACTGAGATGTTGAAAATACTGTTAATAACAGCGGGAGGGTCCTCTAGACTGTGGGAGAGAGAAGCGGGGGAGAGGTGTGACCATATAAATGAGACATGATAACTATATTTGGATTCCAAGTGAAGAATTTCACATGTGAACAATTAGATTTCTAGCATGTGTGTGCAGCAGAAGGGGGCGTCATGGATAACAAAGTATCTAGTAGGAGGTCAGAAGAGAAGACGAGATGCAGAGAATGTAAGATGATGAAGCCATAAGAATGGAGAACTGGCCGGGCGCTGTGGCTCACGCCTGTAATCCCAGCACGTTGGGAGGCCGAGGCGGGTGGATCACAAGGTCAGGAGATCGAGACCATCCTTGCGAACAGGGTGAAACCCCGTCTCTACTAAAAATACAAAAAATTAGCTGGGCGTGGTGGCGGGCGCCTGTAGTTCCAGCTACTCGGGAGGCTGAGGCAGGAGAATGGCGTGAACCCGGGAGGCGGAGCTTGCAGTGAGCCGAGATCCCGCCATTGCACTAGAGCCTGGGCTACAGAGTGAGACTCTATCTCAAAAAAAAAAAAAAAAAAAAAAAAAAAAAAAGATGGAGAAGTAATATAGGAAGGAGGTGGGGTAGCTTGAGAGTTTGGATAATAAATTCAATTTTGGACATTTCTGGTTTAAAAGACCTTCAGGCTATTTCAGTAGATATGAAGGTATGCTGCTAAATACTTAGATTGTTTTGACAATAATGCAGGTTAAGTACTGTTATTCATTTTATCATGAATCTGACGCAAAAAAAAAAAAAAGTACTATTCTTCCCCCAAGCTGTTAACTAACTTCACCCAGCAAGTAGTAAAGTAGGATTCCAATAGAGACAGCTTAACTCCAGGACCACTGCACTAATCTGGCAGTATTAGAGCTGAAAGGGTATAGGCTTCAGAGGAAGAGAGACTTTGATTTAAATCTCAGCTTTGCCACTCAACAGAGAAGAGAAGCTGAATACAAATACATTCCTTAATTTAGCTGAGACTCTGATTCTTTATCTGTAAATTGAGGAATCCGAGTTCCAATCTATAGAGTTCTGGTGAGGTTTCATGACATAATGTATTAGTTTCCTATTGTAGGGTAACAAATTACCAGTTAGTGGTATGAAACAGCACATATTTAATCCCCTACATTTCTGGAATTCAGAAGTCCAAAATTAAGGTGTCAGCAAGACTGCATTCCTTCTGGAGACTTTAGGAGAGAATTTGTTACCTTGTCTTTTCCAGCCTGTAGAAGCCACCCACATGCCTGCATTTGAGCCCCTTCCATGGTCTTTAAGGCGTATTACTTCAACCTCTGGTTCCACTGTGACATCTTTTGCCAAAGACATCTGTGACATCTTTTCCCATTCCCTCTGCATCCCTCTTACAAGAACCCATTTGATTATTTGGGCCTACTTAGATAATCCAGGATGATCTCCCCATTTTAAGATCCTTAACTTAAGCCTCTCTGCAAAGTTCCTTATGCTACGTAAGGTAACACATGCACAGGTTCTGGGGGTTAATGCATGGATATCTTTAGTGGTGGCATCAGTCAGTCTATCGCAGTTTATGTACAGTAAGAGTAATAATATCAACAACAGGCAATAAGTTTATCGAACATCTCTCTTGATTATCAATTATCCATGCACAGCCTTTGAGAAGAATTGGAAGGCAGTCAACTTGTGATTAACTCATAATAGGCATGAATTATAGCTATTATTATCACTATGAGCATTATTATTCACTTTTATGAGAAAAATTAACATGCATAATTCTCAAAGCATACCCTTTCAAATGCCCTGCCAAATAAATTTCTCACTTCTGAAAGACAACCTTTCTATCTTTCCTCTTACAAAGGCACTGGGCATAACACATAATTGCAATGTCATACTCCATCTTCAATTCCAAATCAATTATAGCTTTAGCATTCCAATTATTTATTTGGCCAAATGATTAAGTATTACCTCCCAGAGAAACCTCTCTGATAAACTTATCTCTTAGAATTTCTTCCATTTCTGTATCACGTATTCTTTAGGCGACTGTTACTTTATAAATAATTGGCATATCAACATACAAAATCATACATGAAGTATACATGAATATAAAAATAAAAAATAAAAATGTAAACATCACCCACTTTATGAACTATTGATAATCTTTTTGAAGCCTCCATGTGCCTTATTTCTTTCCCTCCCCTGCCAGAAGTAATCAATATCCCAAATTTTAGTTTCATTATTCCTTTTATTTTCTATGCAAATGAGCCTTCCATTTTAGAATAGTTTACATTCACAAAACAGTTCCAGAGGCAGTACAATGAGTTCCTTTGTACTTCTCACCCATTTTTCCATATTACTGGCATCTTATATTAGTATGATATATTTGAAACAGCTAATGAATCCATCTTGATAAATTACCATGAACTAAACTCTATGCTTCATTTGGATTTCTTCAGAAGTTTTTCACATGGTTACACTAGGGTAGTGGATTTTGGAGACAAAAACCAGAGAGATAATCATTCTCAGCACATCATATTAAAGGTAACATGACTTATCACTAATCACCTGCCTAAGGTAGTGCTTGTCAGATTTCTCCAACGTACAATTACTATCTCTCCCCCAGTCCATTACTCTACTCTTTGAAATTAAATCAAAGTGTGTAGTCTGCACATAAGCAGTAAGGAGTTATAATCCAACATCTTGATGGAACAGTGTCTACATAATTTATTTGGTGTTCTTCTGCATGAAAACTTGTCTATTTCCCCCACCTGTTTAATTATTCAATAATGTATTTATATAAGTACAAACTCATAGATATTTATTTTACACTTTTGGTTATAATCCAATACAGTTTATTCTGTTGCACAACTTGTTCCAGCTTTGAATATTCGGAGCTCTTTCAGTTGTCTTCCGTGTCCTTTGGACAAACCTTCATAGTTTTCTTTACTGAGCACATCCTTACTTTCTGGTACCACAAGACAAGACAGGATAGTCTCATCTTGTGTATACCCTGTCCTAGTCCCATAACCATGCATTTC
This sequence comes from Homo sapiens, assembly GCF_000001405.40. NCBI lineage: Eukaryota > Metazoa > Chordata > Mammalia > Primates > Hominidae > Homo > Homo sapiens. The sequence continues at coordinate 88,895,613 of NC_000007.14, read as the reverse complement.
ACTAAGGAGTGCTGGTTTCTTTCGTTGGAGGATGGTATTAGAAACCAAGATCTTGGTGCTGGATGTGCTCATTGCTAATGGGGTATCATCGCTTCTAGGCCCTCTGAAGGGACAGTGTTAGGAAATACATGCATGAACACTAACTCACATGCATACTAGCACATACCTATAAATATTGCTAGGTATATCTATCAGTATCTAATTAAGCTAAACATGAAGTCATATTGATCCATCCAACTCTAATCCAGTATGGCAAGGTTTATTCTAGCCTTCCTCCTTGCTTATATGTAACTTCCCACTTTAACAGTGAGAAGCTTCGCTTCTACCATCTGCCACCCATTTACTTATTTGTTCCACTTCCATGTACAAGTATAGTGATTTCATAATTGTTAAATTTCTAATGTGAGAACCAACATTGTCAACTAGAACCTAGTAGTTATATACAGTTTCTTTTGGCTTTACTCTTGACAATCTCCCTTCATTTCCAAAATTACTTAGGTCAGTTTAAAAAGAAAAGCAAAACAAAATAAAAAAATCTATACCCCCATCAGTGAGATTGTTTTATACATTTTAATAGTTTTTGTCATTTTGCACTTTATTAGGTATACCCTGACTTCTTAAAGTGTATACATTAATGTTCACCATTTGTGTTATAGAGTTCTAGAAGTTTTTAAAAATGCATAGGGTCAAGTATCCTCCAGCTCAATATTATACAGGATAGTTTAACTACCCTAAAAAATCCCCAGTGTTTCATATATTTAACCACCCCCCTCCCCAAACCTCTGATCTATTTTTATCTTCATAATTGCATCTTTTCTAGAATATTATATCATCAAAATAATGCAGTATATAGCCTATTTAGACTGGCTTCCTTCCTGTAGCAATAGCATTTAAGTTTCCTTCATGTCTTTTTGAGGCTTCACAGCTCATTTCTTTTTATCATTGAATAGTATTTTATCATATGGATTTACCAAAGTTTGTTTATCCATTTACCTAATGAAGGATATCTTGGTTGCCTCCATTCTTTGATAAATAAAATTGTTATCTGATGGTTTTTCTTAGGATTTTCAATCTAAAATATGCTATTAATAGCGTATGATTGGGCCAGGGGCGGTGGCTCACATCTGTAATCCCAGCACTTTGGGAGGCTGACGTGGGTGGATCACTTAAGGTCAGGAGTTTAAGACCAGCCTGACCAACATGGTGAAACCCCATCTCTACTAAAAATACAAAGTTAGTTGGGCATGGTGGTGCATATCTGTATCCCAGCTACTTGGGAGGCTGAGGCAGGAAAATCACTTCAACCCGGGAGGCAGAGGTTGCAATAAGCTGAGATTGCGCCATTGCACTCCAGCCTGGGCAACAAGAGTGAAACTCCATCTCAAAAAAAAAAAAGGGATTGCATAGTTTTAAAATTTAACTCATTGAAGCCCACAACTGAGAAATTCACTGTAATGTTTAATCTAAAATTAACTATTTTCCAACACTTATAAAGAGTGTTTTATCCATACTTTGATAATGCTATAGTTTATATACAGTATTTTTGAAAACTTAAAGGAGACAAGCAGGGTATGTATTTATTAAATACATATATCTTAATATTTTGGAGAATAGACTGGGTGGTATTATTTATTTCAGATACATGCTAATAATAAATTTATCTAATTTTCCATGATGTTTCCTTATTTTAAAGAAAATCATCAGAATGCTTCATCCTTTTTCCACATTAAGTTAACTTGTAATAATGTCCCCAATGAATGTTAATTTCAAATTATCTGATGGACATTGAGAATAAAAGTTAAAAATAGCCATGTAATTACTGTTTCCTCTGTTTTATAAAGTTATTGGAAGCTATTGTCTATTATATCTTTCAAAATGTCGCTTCACATTGTGACACACAGCTTTTCAAGCTAAATGCTGGGAAGTGTTGGTATCTGAGTGTTTTTCCTTATTAAGTTTCCTTATGCCTATTACCTTTGGCAGCCACACTTTTAAGTCAAATCTATTAAGTTCAACACTCTATTTTAATAAGTATTATTTGCATAAGCTTTAGTATAATTTACTTTCTACTGTATGGTTTTTGATATTTTATCCATACTTTGATAATGCTATAGTTTATATATAGTATTTTTTTGAAATCTTAAAGGAGACAGGCAGGGTATGTATTTATTAAATACATACATCAATATTTTTAAAATAATTTTAAAGGGTTTATATAAATAATGGGTTCATATTTCAATAATAAAATTTTAAATCTGTGTAATAAAGCAATACGGATGATAGATGTTCAGATAAGTATGTCCCAAAAATGGTAGATGACATATTTTTGAAATGCCTTTTTAAATACTTGCTTAGGTGGTGAGAAAGCAACTATATTCCTTGGAGGTCAGAAACTATAATAAAATAGTAATCCATATGTGCTTACCATATCAAATGCTGAAAGTGGCATTTACCCTGGAGGTATCTTTTGATAGCTGTTGACCTAGATTTAGGATATAATGACCAAAGTGCTTGAGGGATAAGAAGCAAAATCTGGAACCTCAGCAAATAGGTTAAATTTAAAACCCACATTAAAACCCCATACAAGCCCCCACAAAAGGCAACACACTCTGCAAATAAACTAAGTTTAAAAAATTACTCTGATAGGAAGACAATGGGAGAAGAATCAAAAAGTTTCCTCTAAGAACTTCTGACCATAATTCAACATTTAAACAAGTTTAGAGTTATAACTAACAATACCAATATAATTCAAAATACCTGAACTGAAATCTGAAATTTCAAATCTGAAATTGTCTTTTAATTGATCCCAAATTAGTGTTCCCACTAATGTGTGTTTCCAGGAACGAAGTGACCAGGAGATGAAAGGTACAAAGTTTAACAAAAACAGGAGAAAGAAAAAACATTTTGGAGGGAGATGAGAGGGAGAAGTTGATATTGAAAGAAAGTAATGGCTAGGACTTTTCCAGAATTGATTAATGATGTGAATTTGCCTTTTTAGGAATCTCAAAGAACAACAAGGATACATTTTTTTAGAAGTCTGCAATGAGGCAAATGGTAGTGAAACTATAGAACTTACAGAAGAAGTCAAAGAGAAAAGATACTCTATACAAAAAACTGACACTTAAAATGACAATGACTTTTCAAGAATAATGGAAGCCAGAGACATAGGAGAGAAGGAAAAAACTTGTTTATAAAGCTAGAAAGATACTCCCCAAAAAAACTATTTTCTACAAGTTAGAGTGGAAATTAAGATATCTACAGATAGACACAAACCCTTCATAAACAAACCCAAAAAACAAATACTCCCTAAAGCACCACATAACTTCTATACTTCAAGAATAAAGAAAAATATCTGAGAAGGAAGGCCTATGATGCTGGAAATAACAGAGATCATACAAATTAGAAAATAAATGTAGATCTAAATACACACTTACTGTATTAAACAACAATATCTAATTTGTAGCATCAAAATTAATATATTTAAATATATTTCTGGACAGTAAAGGCATTTATGTTAACAGTAGGGTGGCTGGAGGTAACACATGCTAAGGATCTTTGGTTTAGAAGAAAGATGGTAAAAATATTGTATAACTTTAGGCTTTTATATGTTAAATTTGCACATGAAAATATTTGGGGTAAACACTGAAAACAGAAAATGATTTGTGGGAATTGAACAATGAGAACACTTGGACACAGGAAGGGGAACATCACACACCAGGGCCTGTCGTGGGGTAGGGGAGGGATAGCATATACCTAATGTAAATGATGAGTTAATGGGTGAAGCACACCAACATGGCACATGTATACATATGTAACAAACCTGCACGTTGTGCACATGTACCCTAGAAATTAAAGTATAAAAAAAAGAAACATCAAAATTCAAAAAACAAAACAAAACAAAACAAAGACTAGTAGAGAGAAAGAAATAAAATAAAAAGGGGAATTAAAGCCTCAACTAGCCAAAGAAAGGCTAAAAGTTAAAAAAAAAAAATCTACTTAGAAAAGTCAGGACAAATATAATGTAAAAAATAAAATAATAGAATTGTTCTCAAATTTATAATTCAAACGAGGTAAAGGCAATAAATACTTCAAGTTAAAGAGATTATCAGATTGGATTACAGTGAATTACATGATAGTCTAATAGACATATAATGCATAAGGACATGTAAGGTTTGAATAATAGGGTAGAAAATTATATAAAAGGCAAACAAAATAAAAATGGATATAGCTATTATTATTGGACAAAATAGACTTTAATTAAAATATTTGTTAGAAATAAATACATAGTGATTAAAATTTCCATTCACTAGAAAGAGAGAGCAATACCAAAAGTGTATACCCTACAAATATAGTCTCAACACACTTAAAGCAAAAATAGATGTATCTACAATCAGTGCATAAGGATAGAATTAACGATCATTATCAAGGTCATAATATATAAGGATAACATGGAAAACTCAATTATGTTTCTATATCATTCATTAACTTAAATATTTATTGAGGGTCTCTTACATGTCATGCACTGTTGTGTGTGGTAGGGGTATATCAGTAAACAACACAAACAATTAACGCTGTTTTCAAAAAGCCTATATTCTATTGAGGAGGATAAAACAAAACAAAACAAAACAAAACAGATAAATACGTATGTCAGTTGATGAGAACTGAAAAAAGTTAAACAAGGCACTATTTACAGTGACCACAGAAGATCACTGTTATCTAGGAATAAATCTAACATATGCATGATTTGTATGATAAATACTATAAATGTGTTATGAATAAGTGAAAAATTGGAATCAACTCAAATGTTATTTATAATAAAATGAATAAATTGTGTTACATTTTATACAGTGGGATAATATACAGAACTGAAAATTAAGAACATGCAGTTATATGTATCCACCAATAACTCAGCAAAACATTTTTAAGCAAAATGTCACCATAAAACGTGGTTCCATTAATAAAATTTTGGGAAAAAAAGCAACTAAACAATAAAATGCTTAAACATCCTATGTGGTAAAACTGCACAGAAATCTACCAAACTCCTATTAGAATGACTAAAATCCAACCTGACAATATCAATTACTGGTAAAAATGTGGAGCAACAAGAACTCTCATTCATGGATAGTGAGAAGGCAAATGGTACAGCCACTTTGGAAGACATTTTGGCAATTTACAAAGCTGAACATGGTCTTACCATGCAATACCAGCTCTCATGCTCCTAGGCATGTACTCAATTGATATGCAAACTCCTGTCTATGTAAAAACCTGCAAACAAATACTTACAGGAGATTTATTCATTAAAAAATTGTTTGAACACTTTACTTAATATCATACATACAAATAATTTTAAAATTCAAAGTTAAAATTGAAGAGCTAATACTAAAAATAGTTCAGAGAAATATAGTCATTATTTCTGAAGAGTACCTTTGGACTTATGTGAAGGTGTTATTATGATGTGTTCTATAAAAATTATAGATATCTACTGTCTTCACGTAAATTTCTAAAATTACTCCTAATTCAAAAATGTATTATGAAATAACTTATTGTCAATATAATTTTATTTTCCAATTTTGTTAAAGGACTCCTTGTTCAATAAGTGATGCTGGGTTACCTGGCTAGCCACATGTAGAAGAATGAAACTAGACCCCTATCTCTCACAATATACAAAAATTAACTGAAGAAGGATGAAAGATGTAAATGTCAGACCTCAAATTATAAAAATCCTAGAAGAAAAGCTAGGAAACACTTTTCTGAACATTGGCCCTGGGAAAGAATTTATGACTGTCTTCAAATGGAATTGCAACAAAAATAAAAATCGACAAGTGAGACTTAATTAAATTCAAAAACTTCTGCACAGCAAAAGAAACTATCAACTGAGTAAACAGGTAACTTACAGAATGGCAGTAAATATTCCCCAACTATGCAAGTGGCATATGTCTAATATCCAGAATCTACAAGGAACTTAAACAAAACAAGAACCCATCAAAAAGTGGGCAAAGGGCATGAAAAGACACTTCTCAAAAGAAGACATACAAATGGCCAACAAACATCACAAACATGAAAAAAATGCTCATCATCACTAATCATCAGAGAAATGTAAATTAAAACCACAATGAAACACTAACTCATGCTAGTCAGAATGGCAATTATTAAAAAGTCAAAAAATAACAGACGTTGATAAGGCTGCAAAGAAAAGGGAATGCTTATCTACTGTTGGTGGGAATGTAAATTAATTTAGCCATCGTTATGGAGATCTCTCAAGTAACTCAAAATAGAGTTCCTTGGACCCAGCAATCTCATTACTGGATATATACCCCTCCCCCAAAATAAGCCATTCTACCAGAAAGACACATGTACTCCTATGTTCATTACAGCACAATTCACAATAACAAAAACATGGAATCAACCTCGGTGCCCATCAGTGGTGGACTGGATAAAGAAAATATGGTATATATACACCATGGAAGAATACTATGTAGTCATAAAAAAGAATGAAACCATATCCTTTGCAGCAACATGGATTCAACTGGAGACTATTACCCTAAGCAAAATTCAGGAACAGGAAACCAAATACTACACATTCTCACTAATAAGTGGGAGTTAAACAATGAGCACACAGGAGCATAAAGATGGGAACAACAGACACTGGGGACTACTTGAGGCAGGAGAGAGGAAGAGGGCAAGGGCTGAACAACTATTAGGCATTATGCTCACTACCTGGGTGATGCAATCAATTGTAACCCAAACCTCAGCTTTACGCAATATATCTATGTAACAAACCGGTAAGTGTCTTGTGACTTTAAAACAAAAGTTGAAGTTAAAAAAACAAAACAAAACAAAACGAAAAACAAAAAACAGGGTCAGGGATTACAATCCTACCTCTTTAAAATACTAAAATGCTTAAGTAAAACAGAGTAGCATGATCAAAATAATGAAATTTTTTCATTGTAAAACATTCAAACAGTTATAGTAATAAAAATATCAATTTTTCAATATTGTCTGATAGGCAATCAGTCTTTTTTTTCTACTTGTGATAAAATGTTTCAGGTGTGTTAATTGCTCTACAGTTTCTGGCATTAATCATCTTTCAGAGCTAAATTATGGATACGGTGTCTGTAAACATAGAAGACCAACTGTAAAAGTATCATAAATACGTAAATCATTGGTGATGATAACTAATTGTATTAATAGATGATCATAAAACTAATATATATATATTTTTGAGGCAGACTCTCCCTCTGTCGCCCAGGCTGGAGTGCGGTGCCATGGTCTCGGCTCACTGCAACCTCTGCATCCCAGGTTCAAGTGATTCTCTTGCCTCAACCTCCCAAGTAGCCAGGATTACAGGCACCCCCCACCACGCCTGGCTAATTTTTTATACTTTTCATAGAGATGGGGTTTCGCCATGTTGGCCAGACTGGTCTCGAAGTCCTGACCTCGTGATCTGCCCACTTCAGCCACCCAAAGCGCTGGGATTACAGGCGTGAGCCACCATGCCCAGCCCATAAAACTAAATTTTTAAAATTATCATTTGGGCATAATGATGTCCATCTATAGGAACATATTAAAGTAAAATATAATAGATTTATATAACTGCAACTATAGAGCCAGTAAAAAAGTGACAATATGTATTACTAGCACTGAAATTTTCAGTAATACATATATTTTTGAAATAGCAATTCTCAGATATATATATACATTCCTGTGTTTTTTAAAGAATATACATATATAAGCAAATGTAAAACTTAATATCAAAGCCACATCTGTGTGTGTTTGTGGAGACTGGGTAGGATCGTAGTAATGAGCAGAAAGTGTACAAAGATATGCATGGGGTAAATACAAATCTGCACTTTTTTTTTTTTTACAATGAACTCATGCAGAGCTTATTTTAACACTTTGTAAAACATAAGCTGGGCATAATATAATTATGATCAAGATTCACAATTAGAATATATGGAAAGGGCTCATTATTTTTTAAAAAGTGGTTTACAGTGGAACAGAATAGAGAGCTCAGAAATAAGGCTGCACACCTATGACCAGCTGATCTTTGACAAAGCTAGCAAGAACAAGGAATAGGGAAAAGACTCCCTGTTCAATAAATGGTGCTGGGGTAACTGGCTAGCCATATGCAGAAGATTAAAGCTGGATCCCTTCATTACACCATATACAAAAATGAACTCAAGATGGATTAAAGACTTAAATGTAAAACCCCAAACTATAAAAACAGACAACCTACAGACTTGGAGAAAATATTTGCAAAGTATGCATCCGACAAAGGTCTAATATCCAGCATCTATATGGAACTTAAACAAATTTACAAGAGAAAAACAACCCCATTAAAAAGTGGGCAGAGGACTTAAACAGACACTTCTCAAAAGAAGACATACAAATGGCCAACAAACATCACAAACATGAAAAAAATGCATTTTTGTTTTCTAAAGAAATGATTTAATGATGGTGCTGCCTATTACAGGGAAGAGTTCCCTTGTCTCCGCAATCTTGTCAGCATCTGCTATTTTTTGACTTTTTATAGTAGCCATTCTGACAGGTGTGAGACAGTATCATTGTGGTTTTGATTTGCATTTCCTTAATGATCAGTGATATTGAGCTAAAATCTGGCTAAGAAGAGGACCATATCAGATAATTCAGTAGAACTGTATATCATTTTCTATTAGAGAATTTATGTTTTTCCCCTTGAATAGTCTATTTTTCCTAAGTTTGGACCATATTAAATATGCAGATGTACAAAGAACAACTATAAGCAATTACAATATACTAGATATGAAAAATGTTTTGATAAAAAGTCTATTAGGAATTATATCTCCTTTCTGCATCTTTCAGAAATTAGTTTTTTACTTTTCATAAGTTTTACTTTTCATAGTTTTCTTAAGATTACTTAAAGAGAATATCTTCTTGTCATTGTGAAATCGATAAAATATAAAAGCCATCTTATATGCGTCTGTTTAAACCTGCTGAAACATTATAATGAAATTGAAAATCACCATACATTGTGTGCAATAAAATAATGCATTATTAGTTATATTAGCACTCAGATCATTAAGAAAATAAAATGTTCTTTATCAAATTTCAAGTCAACCTTTTGCTCTGAAATTTATCACTGCAGAAAATATTTAAATGGGAAGTCTGAATTTAATGCAAAAATATGTTTTTAAACAACAGGTGAAGGTTCGTTACATAGGTAAACTCATGTCACAGGGGTTTGTTGTAAAGATTACTTCATCACCCAGGTATTAAGCCCAATACACAATAGTTATCTTTTCTGCTCCTCTCCTCCCACCCTCCACTGTCAAGTAGACATCAACACCTACCCACACCTACAAATATACATCCATGCAGAGCAAGAAATCTGTATAGGAAGAGTATCATCCCTAATCCATCTACCATCACCACAAAACCTCCCAAATTTCAGATAAAATTTTGGAATAAATGTACAACTGCTCCTTTATTTGCATTAATGATCCTATAAATATGGTCCATTGTTTTGAACTAATTCGTCTCCTAAATTATGTTCATATCTTATGGTGAAATGTAAGATATATATTTGTGGTTAATGGAAAACTAACAAAATGCCTCAAATTCCTGAAAAGAACAGATAGATACAAAAGCATTAAATTCAGACTTCCCATTTAAATATTTTCTGCAGTGATAAATTTCAGAGCAAAAGGTTGACTTGAAAATTTGATAAAGAACATTTTATTTTCTTAATGATCTGAGTGCTAATATAACTAATAATGCATTATTTTATTGCACACAATGTATGGTGATTTTCAATTTCATTATAATGTTTCAGCAGGTTTAAACAGACGCATATAAGATGGCTTTTATATTTTATCGATTTCACAATGACAAGAAGATATTCTCTTTAAGTAATCTTAAGAAAACTATGAAAAGTAAAACTTATGAAAAGTAAAAAACTAATTTCTGAAAGATGCAGAAAGGAGATATAATTCCTAATAGACTTTTTATCAAAACATTTTTCATATCTAGTATGTTGTAATTGCTTATAGTTGTTCTTTGTACATCTGCATATTTAATATGGTCCAAACTTAGGAAAAATAGACTATTCAAGGGGAAAACATAAATTCTCTAATAGAAAATGATATACAGTTCTACTGAATTATCTGATATGGTCCTCTTCTTAGCCAGATTTTAGCAATATTGTATTGTTTAGCCAAAATCAGATCAATACGTCACTGAAAAGCAGCAGTCACAGAGAAAACCCGGTATTGTTCTATGAGAAAAGATAAATTAGCATAGTAAATACAAGCTAGTGATCTCATTTAGAGATTTGGACTCTAAACCATGAACATTTCAATACTCAGGGAAAAACAAAGGACATTTTTATGCAAAATAAAAATTCCTGCTCTGAGGAAGGTAGCAGATAATGTAATATAATGCCCAACTATTTTCACTTTGGTGATGGAATCTTTAGTACATAAACTGAATTTTACCCAAAAATAAGAATAATCCAATATGAGGTGACTAGAAATCTAATGCTGCATTTCAAGTAGGGATACAAATTATATATGCATTGAAATGCTTCCTCTTTTGCATTGGTTGATGGCAGGATTTAGTGTAGTAATTTATTCGGGAGCACCTTAAGCTCAAAGTGGAAAAGCATTGAGAGAAAATTATTATTAGTAGCCTTCTAGAAGGGAAATATGTGCACCTTGATTCAATGGACGAGACTAATAAACATAATTGTAGACTGCCATTATGGTGACTTCCACTCAAAGACAACATAATTCTGGTTAAAATTCATTTCATAATGAAATAAAAATTATCTATATAAGGATGTTCATTATAAAAATTTTTCTCATAAGCTTTAATTTTTTTAAGACAAAAGAGCATGAAAACATGTTAAATTACAATGCAATTTACTAGGTAAATGATATTGGGCAAGTAAGTTATTACATATCAATCTCATTTCTCCATCTGTCATATAATAGGCAATATAAATTGCTATTTGAAATATGAAATTTATATAAAATGCCAAGCTTCTTGTCTAAAATATAATAGCTCCTCAACATACAAATAGGAAACCACTGGAGGAGAATCAAGGTCATATAGGTGTATATAGTGCCATAGATTTTTTTAAACTTTAAGATAAAACGCCAAAATTAGATAGATAGAAGATAGATAGATACAGATGATAAATAGATATATAGATATAAAGCAAAATAAATATATGAGAAGCAAAAGATAACCAATGTAAGTCAGACATATAAAAATGAACAAGATACATGTACTTTTCATTTTAAAGTCTCCAATACATTAAGGAAATTAAATAATATCCTCTGTATTTAAAATACATATAATATAAATAATGGCTACTTATGTAAAGCCTATAAATTATTTTTGTGTAATACTCTGCATTAATAACATTTATCAATATATTTACTTTGCTCTCCTTATTTTTTAAGGAGGTAAAGAATATGGAGAGTGCTCAGAAAAAAAAAAGATAAAATCATTATAGACATATAAAATAATACCCTAAGGGAAGAGTTGAAGTAGCTGGTATTATTTAGTTTGAGAAAAAGTGAGATTAGACATCTGCCTTCATTAGGATCTCCATTAAACTAGATGATTTCTTGAGATCCAATTTTCTTTTTCTGTAATCTATAATGTGATTTCTGGAGATCCAGTTTTTTCTGTAACCTATAATGTTATTGTCTTCTAAAATAAATATATAAAAAGATGCAGAAATAGATGTAGTTTGATAAGTGACATATAATTAGTAACCAACACTAGCATTAACTACACTATTACTTAAACACACACATACACACATACACACATTCAGTGCTTCTCAACTTATAGAACCAGAATCACACAAATCGGAATTGCCTCATGATTTTTAAAATACGGATTCCTGTGCATTTCTTCTAGACCTATCAAATCAAAATCTTTGGTGGTAGAATTTTATAATCTGTGGGTTTAACAAGCATATGATTTGATTTGTGTCTGTGCTGAAGTTGAGGAGAACTGCTAACTTAGAAGATGTTTGCTCCTATACATTTTGTTGACTTTCAATGCCACCATAGTGGTCACCTCCACTTAAGCTAGGCTGAAAGGGGAAAAGAGCTTGGACAAGTGTGTTGAGTAAGGTTTTATGAGTCAGGACCAATAATTGCCTTCCACTCACTTTCCATTGTCTACAGCTCAGTTATATGGCCATGCCTTATGTAACAATGTCTGGTAAATCTAGTCTAGTTGTATGCACAAAGAGGAAACACCAACTCTCTGCCTAATTTTAAACACGTGGAAGACAAAGAAAAAAAGGATTCTTTTTCACTGTTTGTCAAAATGTGATGCATGCAGTCTCTGGAGTTCCCTGGATCCCAACCTGATGAGATCAAAATCTCTGGCAGTGGAGGCTGTAAATAATCATTTTAAACAATTTCCTTATGAGATTCCTAGACATCTTGAAATTTGCAAATGATGGCTGGCAAATGCTTCTTTTGTGTGACAATTCTCTACCATGTTTAACCCAGAGGGAATTTTTTTAAAATTTTTTTCTTCTATTTTTGTAGAAAGCATAGTCATTTAAAAAATTATTTGGAAGACATTTTTTAATTTCAATTTTCATTTTAGATTCAGGGGGTACATGTGCAGATTTGTTACATGGGGGTATTACATGACACTGAGGTTTGAGATATGAGTGATCCTGTGACCCAGGTGCATAGTACTCAATAGGTAATTTTTCAACCCTTGTCCCCTTCCTCCTTCCCCGCTGTAATAGTCCCCCCAGTATCTACTGTTCCCACTTTTATGTCCGTGTGTAATGCTAAATGTTTAGCTCCCACTTGTAAGCAAGAAAATTCAGTATTTGTTTTTCCATTCCTGCATTAATTCACTTAGACTTATGGTCTAGCTGCACTCGTGTTGCCACAAATGACATGATCTCATTCTTTTCCATGGCGCATATTTGCCACATTTTCTTTATCCAGTCAACCACTGATGGGCACCTGGGTTGATTTCTTGTCTTTGTTATTGTGAATAGTACTGCAACCAACATACAAGTGCATGTTGTTTCTTCGTAGAACAATTTATTTTCTTTTGGGTATACACCCACTAATGAGATTGCTGGGTCAAATGGAAGCTCTGTTTTAAGTTCTTTGAGAAATCTCCAAACTGCTTTCCACAGTGGCTAAACTAATTTACATTCCCACCATCAGTGTATAAGCGTCCCCTTTTCTCTGCAGCCTCACCAATAACTGTAAGTTTTTACTTTTTAATAATAGCAATTCTAACTGGTGTGAAATGGTATTTCATTGTGGTTTTAATTTGCATTTCTCTGATGATTACTGACGTTGAGCATTTTTTAATATATTATTGGCCATTTGTATGTCTTCTTTTGAAAAGTGTCTGCTCATGTTCTTTAGGCATACATGTTTTAATGAAGAATTGCACCATTGTTAATTCTAAAAATGAAGCCCTTCTGCATACAATCTTAAACACTAAGTGAGGCAAATGTGCTCATGAGCTGGTGCTGAGCACTGGAGCTTTCGTTATGTTTTCTCCTACAGAGGCAATGGGGTGAAAGAGAACAGACTCAGAGTTACAGCTTTGTTTTGGTTTTATTGAGAATAATAGTGTCTATATTAGCTATATTTTCTACTGAAGAGCTCTTCTCAAACAAATGTTAATACTCTGCACTGAAAGATGATTATGTGAACCTTTATTTCTAAGATAAGACATAACAGTTGTTCATTTACTTGGCCATTTGGGGTAAGCAGCTAAATGTTACTTACAGTTCCCAGAATATAAGTTGTACATAGTAATGTAGTATTCTCAGTGATATCTTAACAAGACCAACATCTTCCAAAAATAAGCTGAATAAATATATAATGGAAAATTGCAAATCTATTATGACGTTTTTAGAAAAAGAAACAAGTTTACTAATTTATTTTTTTTGTCCTGATATGAAGCACCCTACAATTGGATTCCCCAAACAATGGGATGGATTTGTAAGGAAAGAATCTGTAGCCTAAGCCATTTTAAAATATGTTCACAATAATTAGTGAATATTCTGATACATGTTCAGATGTCTTGGACTGAAGAACTTTATTTATGAAGCAGTAAAATAGAACACAAAGAGTGCTGATTGTTCTATTCTTAGACCATGAAATCTCTGCATTCTTATTTAAAGAATTGGGCTAAATTTAAATTCTAACAAATATTGGTGAAGAATCTGCTGTGGGGTGGGCACCTAGAAGAAAAAATTTGCAGAAACACTGTTCTCATGGTGCTAACTCAGCAATATAATCTCATAGTATTTTTATGAGTACAGACTGAAATTCTTTTTCAGAGATCTAGGTTTCAATTGTCCAAAAAATATTATTTGGATGGCAAAATAAAGTTGTATGAAAATTAGCTTTATAAATATTCTTTCTAAATGCAATCCATTCATTTATTTTTATAAATAACCTATAGTCCATTAAGAATCCTAAACCTTCTATCATAATTTTAAATATCTCCACAATAATTTAATAATGATGAAGACATATTATTCATTTTATCTTTAAAACACTATTTGGGAAATGGAGAGATCAATATACTCATTTTACTATGAGTTAGAGTTATGAGATGCCTTTTGTGCAATGGTTAGATAATAATATAAATCTTAAATAGTGTTTATTTGCTTCTATTATCTACCTCACTAAATGCCTTAACGTTTAAAGAATTTTCCATTAAAATAATGTTCACTAGCCATTAAATTAAGGTAATAGATGTTAGAACAGTACAAATATTCATACATGAAAGGAAGACAAAAGAAGCAAAATTAATAATCACCATATTGAAAATGGAAAGTCATCAATTTTTAATCAATATCCTCAATTACACATAAGAAAAATTTAATTAAAATTTTCTTCCTTGGTTTGTCTCATTGTGTATAAATTGCTCCTGCCCAGTGTCTTCCCTTAGTTTACTGTATCAGATTGGTAAATTCTACTGCATAATATTTTAAACTTTGAAATGACAAAACCAAAAGAACATTAAATTAAAAATAAAATTAAGACAACAAAGCAATTTTTATAAAGACTTTAAAATATGTAATAAATTCAGTAATGTTTAAATTACAAGACATTGTTATGTATCAGTAAGAAAATGACAATCCAACAGATGTTAGACAAAAGATTATAACCACGGTGTTTTTGGGAAAAAATAGAAATTAGATAATCTATATAGAATAAACTATTTCTACTGTAATCTGTTTTCAACTTGTCATCTGCTTTGCCAAAACCAATGAACTCCATTTTGTTAAATCCAGTAAATATTTTTATGGCATTCTTCAAATTCTCAGCAAAAGCTGAAACTGATTATGAACTGCAGATTCTGTACAATTCAGATTACAAACTGCACAACTCAGCCTCTTTATAGCAAATTTTCCCTTGACTCTGCTAGCAAAACACCATATTTTCTGAAGTTCCAAATTATCTTTCATATCAGTTGCTCTGGGAACTAATTCCATAAGACTGTCACAGAACAACTTTTATTCGTTAATTACTCCTCTCCCCAGATAAGTGGTTTTTTTTTTTCTTTTTTAAGACAGTCTCGCTGTGTAGCCCAGGGTAGAGGCTAGAGTGCAGTGGCACGATCTTGGCTCACTGCAATCTCCACCTCCTGGGCTCAAGCAATTCTCCTGCCTCAGTCTCCTGCATAGCTCGGAATACAGGTGTCTGCCACTACACCCGACTAATTTTTGTATTTTTTGGAGAAACGGGGTTTCACCATGTTTCCCAGGCTGGTCTCTAACTTCTGAGCTCAAGCAATCCGCCTGCCTCAGCCTCTCAAAGTGCTGGCATGACAGGCATGAGCCACCATGCCTGCCTTCAAGTGGCTTTTAACTCTACCTACACTTTAGACTTAACTCGGGAAGCTTTAAAAATTGAATTTCCACAGGGTGCGGTCCAGAAAGATTTTTAAACCTCTCCTAATGTTCTTAATGTGAGTTGGAATTTACTGACCCTGGTAAACTCTTCTATGCATGGGGCTTCAATTCCTGTGTGTACACTGACTTCCTTTAGATGTATATGTGTATGTGCATACATACACACATATGATCTCCCACACATATTCTCACATAAATTCCATACTTCTTGAATAACTTCATACTTCTTCACATTATCTGTGCTTCCCATAAGTGTTATAGACAATATTTTCCTAATTGCCCTCCATGAAATTTTGATAAATATGCAGTAGCATAAATGTTTATGTACTATATGCCTTTCTATACTTTGTGCATAAAAAGTAAGATTTTTTTTACTCCCCAGCAACCAATTTTTACCCCCTTTGGTGGCAATATCATCCTTGTTGAGGATGCATGGGTAAAACATATTATAGGCCCTTTAAATTGTACACATCCAGAACAGAAGTCATTAACTTTGCTCAAACGAGGTCTCCTCCAAAGATGTTTATATCAGTAATTGACGCTAACATTCAATCTACAAGGAAGGCTTCTTTGTAATCTCTTGCATCTTAAATCCTGTTTCAAACCACTTGGTCCTTTTTATACTGTTTTCTGAGTATCGCGGGAATCTGCCAACATTTCTTCTTCTCCCTTTTCATCGTGAACCTAATATTGCCTGGCAGAGTGGTCTGTGACGCTGATGTACTGAAGCATGAGTAGAATGAGGACTAGAGGAGCGGAAGCATAAGGTATTTGGGCATAACTGCAAAAGTTAAGACATGGGAACAGGAATTTAAGTAGTATATTTAGAAGATGGTGTAGACAACAAATTAATTGGAAAAGTCACTAAATTAAGTCACTAAATTTAGATACATTTAAAGTTTTACAAAGGCAAACTGATTTATTTATCTCATTAAGATTTTACTAATTTATCTATATTGGATGCATTTGTATTAGTTAAAAGCAGCCTTCAGCATAAAAGTACATTATTATCCCAAATGGCCAATTTCTTCATGATTATTTCAAGTACAATTTTGTTTTCATTGTCAAAAATAGCATAGTATAGGTGATTAAAAAAATGCAAAAGAAATCTAGTTTTTATTTAACAAATAGGTTTGAATATATGCCAGACACTCTTCTAAGCATTTTACTTATGTTTACTCTTGATTCCTATACCATTCTCATCAGGCAGACACCCTTATTATATCTGTTTTACAGATGAGAATACTGAGTAATCTATCCTCTATAAAATTAAAATTGAGTTGTTAAGACATATATCCATGAGGTAGTAAGTTGCAAGACAAGGCCTCAAATTACCAAATTTTTTAAAATGTGATATAAATAATAAATTCTAAAGGGAAATAGGGCAATCTTTGGTGTTATCTAATGGAGAAAGTGAGACCAGAGTCTGGTTTTAAATCTGAGTTGAATTCTGACAGGAGGATCCAAAACCCTTGTCATAAAAAAGGTACCAATGGGATTATAGCCCATTTCAAATTACCACCAGTGGAAGAATTTTAAGTTCAAATGAGAATAATGAGTTATCTTAAGTTAGAAGTATTATCTAAGCTAATTATTTATTTCAGTTAAAATGTACATATTGACTAATTTAACAGTATACTTAATCCCAAAATTTTACTTGCAATGGCCAATGATGATTTAACCGCATCTTTTTTACAATAGTATTTTTCAGTATTTTCTGTCATATTCTGTTGTTTCACCTCTGAAATAATGAGGAATATTCTCAAAACCTCTATTTTTGTAAGGAAGAAGTATAAATTCCTTATGTATTGAAACGAGTAACATATTATCACACAACTTTTCATTTAATTCCAAAACAATACAGTTTATAGAAATATTGGCTCTGGTTCTGAGTGAATGTAAAAGATAATATATTTTATGAAAATAATAATAGCAATAACAGCAAACATGTATTTAATACTTTCATATGCCAAGAATTTTTCCCCGCTATAAATTCTGTATCACATTTAATCTTCTACTCACTCTATGAGGTAGACACTATTATTATGCTTATTTTATAAAGACTGAAACTGGGTGGGGAAGCTAAGTAACTAGGCCACAATCACACCTTAATTAATAGAAGAGACAGGATTTTATCTCAGATACTTCTAAGTCCCAAAGAGATTTTAACCACTGGTTCACACTCCCTTAATATCCATTTAACCCCTAAAATAAGAGGGACTGGAATTCAAATTATAATACCTTCAGATAGATATGTATTACAGATTTCATCTCTTTTAATATAAATCAATCAATTATTTAACAGTTGTTTCCAAATTGCTTCTTTCTAATTCTACATATACCTACAAATTCATGACTTGGCTAATGTTGATCTCAGGGTTCTAATGCTGAGAGAGAGTGAGAAATGTTCTACTTTCTACTTATCAGTCAGTATCTACACAGACTTGATTAGTCATTTTGCTTTTTAAAATTCTATTTTCCCTAGTGGCACACACCTGTAATCCCAGCTACTCAGGAGGCTGAGGCATGAGAATCACTTGAACCTGGGAGGTGGAGGTTTCAGTGAGCTGAGATCGTGCCACTGCACTCCAGCCTGGGTGACAGAGGGAGACTCTGCCTCAAAAAAAAAAAAAAAAAAAAAAAAAAAATATATATATATATATATATATATTATATATATATATATATATTTTTTTTTTCAAATATTCTCTGTATAATTTCCTGTACTACCTCAGATGATGTTTTTAAGGTAAAGCTCATTGTGATGTTTGTCTTTATTACTTATTTTTAATTCATATTTCTAAAATTTCACTTTAATCAACATACTTTTTAAGTGGTGTATATTTTATTAACATTTCTAGGTCATTTATATTCTCTTATAAAGATTTTATTAGAGCTAAAGCATAATATTGAAAACTCCTGGAAAGTGACCTATGAGCTAGTTATTGCTTTTAATTAAGAAGATGAAAGCACAGCCCATGTTTTCAAGGAGTTTACAGCTTTTTGCAGGACAATTGATTAAAACACATGAACTTAACAGCAAACAATATAAGACAGAATTATTCTAAATGCAACAAGAGAGTAAAGAAGTGAGGGAGCGGGTGGATTAAAATAGACCTAGTGGTCAGAGAACTCATTGATAGATAAGAAAAGTTTGGCCTAGGATCTCCAGAAGTGTTGAGGATTTGGTAACTGAATAAATGACAGACAGATATTTTGATCAAAGGGATAATTGTAAATAAAGGTATAGATGCTGGAATAAGCATTATAGTTTTATTTAAATTAAAGAAGCCTAGACTCATTAGACTCACAGAAGTGCATTCAGAAAGAGCAGCAAAAATTAATTCAACTAATTTAAACATATCCCTATTAGAGAATTCAAAAAGAGCAAGTTAGATCTAATGTGATAGGAAAGAGTCACTTAAGGAATTTGCTCAAGAGAGAACACTGATCTGACAGGTCTGCAAAGACTGGGTCAAGTCCCAGAGGTTGCTATGGTAAGCTAAAACTGATCTGTCTGGGAAAGCAGTAAAAGAGATAGACTTGAGAGAAAGTAAAGAGGGGACATGATTTCATTAGCCAAAATGCAAAGCAATTCCTCCGAGAAGAGAGTACAAGAAGCATGATAGAAATATCATGGATTTGTCTTTGGTTCTGTTTATATGCTGGATTACATTTATTGATTTGCATATATTGAACCAGCCTTGCATCCCAGGGATGAAGCCCACTTGCTCACAGTGGATAAGCTTTTTGATGTGCTGCTGGATTTGGTTTGCCAGTATTTTATTTAGGATTTTTGCATCAATGTTCATCAAGGATATTGGTCTAAAATTCTCTTTTTTGGTTGTGTCTCTGCCCAGCTTTAGTATCAGGACGATGCTGGCCTCATAAAATGAGTTAGCGAGGATTCCCTCTTTTTCTATTGATTGGAATAGTTTCAGATGGAATGGTACCAGTTCCTCCTTGTACCTCTGGTAGAATTCGGCTGTGAATCCATCTGGTCCTGGACTCTTTTTGGTTGGTAAGCTATTGATTATTGCCACAATTTCAGAGCCTGTTATTGGTCTATTCAGAGATTCAACTTCTTCCTGGTTTAGTCTTGGGAGAGTGTATGTGTCGAGGAATTTATCCATTTCTTCTAGATTTTCTAGTTTATTTGCGTAGAGGTGTTTGTAGTATTCTCTGATGGTAGTTTGTATTTCTGTGGGATCGGTGGTGATATCTCCTTTATGATTTTTTATTGCGTCTATTTGATTCTTCTCTCTTTTTTTCTTTATTAGTCTTGCTAGCAGTTTATCAATTTTGTTGATCCTTTCAAAAAACCAGCTCCTGGATTCATGAATTTTTTGAAGGGTTTTTTGTGTCTCTATTTCCTTCAGTTCTGCTCTGATTTTAGTTATTTCTTGCCTTCAGCTAGCTTTTGAATGTGTTTGCTCTTGCTTTTCTAGTTCTTTTAATTGTGATATTAGGGTGTCAATTTTGGATGTTTCCTGCTTTCTCTTGTGGGCATTTAGTGCTATAAATTTCCCTCTACACACTGCTTTGAATGTGTCCCAGAGATTCTGGTATGTGGTGTCTTTGTTCTCATTGGTTTCAAAGAACATCTTTATTTCTGCCTTCATTTCGTTATGTACCCAGTAGTCATTCAGGAGCAGGTTGTTCAGTTTCCATGTAGTTGAGCGGTTTTGAGTGAGATTCTTAATCCTCAGTTCTAGTTTGATTGCACTGTGGTCTGAGAGATAGTTTGTTATAATTTCTGTTCTTTTACATTTGCTGAGGAGAGCTTTACTTCCAAGTATGTGGTCAATTTTGGAATAGGTGTGGTGTGGTGCTGAAAAAAATGTATATTCTGTTGATTTGGGGTGGGGAGTTCTGTAGATGTCTATTAGGTCCGCTTGGTGCAGAGCTGAGTTCAATTCCTGGGTATCCTTGTTGACTTTCTGTCTCGTTGATGTGTCTAATATTCATGATTATCTCAATAGATGCAGAAAAGGCCTTTGACAAAATTCAACAGCCCTTCATGCTAAAAACTCTCAATAAATTAGGTATTGATGGGACGTATCTCAAAATAATAAGAGCTATCTATGACAAACCCACAGCCAATATCATACTGAATGGGCAAAAACTGGAAGCATTCCCTTTGAAAACTGGCACAAGACAGGGATGCTCTCTCTCACCACTCCTATTCAACATAGTGTTGGAAGTTCTAGCCAGGGCAATTAGGCAGGAGAAGAAAACAAAGGGTATTCAATTAGGAAAAGAGGAAGTCAAATTGTCCCTGTTTGCAGACGACATGATTGTATATCTAGAAAACCCCATTGTCTCAGCCCAAAATCTCCTTAAGCTGATAAGCAACTTCAGCAAAGTCTCAGGATACAAAATCAATGTACAAAAATCAAAAGCATTCTTATACACCAACAACAGACAAACAGAAAGCCAAATCATGAGTGAACTCCCATTCACAATTGCTTCAAAGAGAATAAAATACCTAGGAATCCAACTTACAAGGGATGTGAAGGACCTCTTTAAGGAGAACTACAAACCACTGCTCAAGGAAATAAAAGAGGATACAAACAAATGGAAGAACATTCCATGCTCATGGGTAGGAAGAATCAACATCATGAAAATGGCCATACTGCCCAAGGTAATTTACAGATTCAATGCCATCCCCATCAAACTACCAAAGACTTTCTTCCCAGAACTGGAAAAAACTACTTTAAAGTTCATATGGAACCAAAAAAGAGCCCGCATTGCCAAGTCAATCCTAAGCCAAAAGGACAAAGCTGGAGGCATCATGCTACCTGACTTCAAACTATACTACAAGGCTACAGTAACCAAAACAGTGTGGTACTGGTACCAAAACAAAGATATAGATCAATGGAACAGAACAGAGCCCTCAGAAATAATGCCGCATATCTATGACTATCTGATCTTTGACAAACCTGAGAAAAACAAGCAATGCAAAAGGGATTCCATATTTAATAAATGGTGCTGGGAGAACTGGCTCGCCATATGTAGAAAGCTGAAACTGGATCCCTTCCTTACACCTTGTATAAAAATCAATTCAAGATGGATTAAAGACTTAAACATTCAACCTAAAACCATAAAAACCCTAGAAGAAAACCTAGGCATTACCATTCAGGACATAGGCATGGGCAAGGACTTCATGTCTAAAACACCAAAAGGAATGGCAACAAAAGCCAAAATTGACAAATGGGATCTAATTAAACTAAAGAGCTTCTGCACAGCAAAAGAAACTACCATCAGAGTGAACAGGCAACCTACAGAATGGGAGAACATTTTCACAACCTACTCATCTGACAAAGGGCTAATATCAAGAATCTACAATGAACTCAAACAAATTTACAAGAAAAATCAAACAACCCCATCAAAAAGTGTGCAAAGGACATGAACAGACACTTCTCAAAATAAGACATTTATCCAGCCAAAAAACACATGAAAAAATGCTCACCATCAATGGCCATCAGAGAAATGCAAATCAAAACCACAATGAGATACCATCTCACACCAGTTAGAATGGCAATCATTAAAAAGCCAGGAAACAACAGGTGCTGGAGAGGATGTGGAGAAATAGGAACACTTTTACACTGTTGGTGGGACTGTAAACTAGTTCAACCATTGTGGAAGTCAGTGTGGCGATTCCTCAGGGATCTAGAACTAGAAATGCCATTTGACCCAGCCATCCCATTACTGGGTATATACCCAAAGGACTATAAATCATGCTGCTATAAAGACACATGCACACGTATATTTATTGCGGCATTATTCACAATAGCAAAGACTTGGAACCAACCCAAATGTCCAACAATGATAGACTGGATTAAGAAAATGTGGCACATATACACCATGGAATACTATGCAGCCATAAAAAATGATGAGTTCATGTCCTTTGTAGGGACATGGATGAAATTGGAAATCATCATTCTCAGTAAACTATCGCAAGAACAAAAAACCAAACGCCACATATTCTCACTCATAGGTGGGAATTGAACAATGAGAACACATGGACACAGGAAGGGGAACATCACACTCTGGGTACTGTTGTGGGGTGGGGGCAGGGGGGAGGGATGGCATTGGGAGATATACCTAATGCTAGATGACGAGTTAATGGGTGCAGTGCACCAGCATGGCACATGTATACATATGTAACTAACCTGCACATTGTGCACACGTACCCTAAAACTTAAAGTATAATAATAATAAATAAAATAAAACATAAAGAAAAAAAAGAAATATCATGGATTTTATTTTTTTCTTTTAGGGAGAGGTTCTTGCTCTGTCACTCAGGCTGGAGTGAAGTGGCGCAATCATAGCTCACTGCAGCCTCAAACTGCTAGGTTAAAGCCATTTTCCTGCCTTGGCCTCCCAAGGTGTTCAGATTACAGGCATGATCGTGGATTTTAAAGCACCAGTTCAATTTTGTACAGGTCCATTATTTATCTGTGTAATACTGAACTGTGCTTAAACCGCCTGAATCCCAATTAAATGTGTTTGCCTATTTTATAGCATTTCAATAAATAAGATACACAAAATTTCCAGTTAAGTTCCCCTGAGACACTTAAGAATTAATCCATTTTTGTCTGAGTTTTAAAAATTCTTGTGTTTGAATACAAAACACAGTTCACCATGAAAATCCATTATACACATTTGGAAAATCATAAAATTTCCTACATATTACTACTTTCACTTCAGTTTTCACTTTTTTTTTGAGACAGAGTTTCACCCTTGTTGCCCAGGCTGGAGTGTAATGGCGCAATCTTGGCTTACCACAACCTCCACTTCCCGGGTTGAAGCAATTCTCCTGCCTCAGCCTCCGTAGTAGCTGGGATTACAGGCATGCACCACCACGCCCGGCTAACTTTTGTATTTTTTTATAGTTGAGATGGAGTTTCTCCATGTTGGTCAGGCTGGTCTCGAACTCCTGACCTCAGGTGATCTGCCAGCCTTGGCCTTCCAAAGTGCTGGGATTACAGGTGTGAGCCACAGCACCCAGCCCAGTTTTCACTTTTATCATTGCCTTCGACAAATGGAAAAATGCTACAATAGCATCATATTGTGTACTGAAGTTTAAATATATATTTTATGTTTGTTTCTTTATAATATTTACATTTTGCTCAGTTCCACTAAAGTATAGTGTAATTATTCTCTTATTAGTATATATTTTCAGCTATATAATTAATGAATTTTATATTATCTTTCAATTGTTATTGATAATTGAAAAATTTTAAAAGCACTTTTCCTCTACTATTTTCAGGTTTTTGTAGTGCCTTTTTTTTTACTGGGGTAAATTGCACTTTTACTTTTTTATTATAATAATAATGTGTTCCCTCTTCTTCCCCCTTAATTGTACTGAACTTAGGAGCCTTTGTATGCCTGCATAGTCTTCAGTTCAGATTCCCTAATAGATAGAGTAGCTTATTAAAGTTCACAGGGATAATTCAGATAGCCATACTTGTTCTCATTTAATCACCTCAGTAAGAATGAAAGATACCATGTTTTATTTTTCAGGTATCTTCACCTATTTGCAGGAGACAATTCAACATATCAATCATTTATTCCTAAATGGTTCTCGGGTTTAATAAAAAATCAGTTTATGTTGTTCTCCCTTCCTTGCAGAATTGAGAATTATCAATCTTTTAATAGAAAAATTTTTTGAAATCTAGAACTTAACTATGAGAAACAAATGGCATTAAATTATATCATTACTGAATCTTATTAACACAATTAATATCTTTCCTTATGACAAACATATTAGATATTCATATCTAATTGCCATCATCAATAATACAGACAGAAAAAGTGTTCCAAGTAAATAGAGTAAAGGCCTAGAAATAATATCCTAGTTTAGAGCAAATGATTCAAGAATATTTTGTTTATCTAGGCAATGCCTTTTTTTGCAATGTGTAACTGTTTTGATCAGGGGTCATAAAAATGACTCAAGCACTTGCATTTTTAAAAAATATGTCAGGATTGACTCCTTTTGGCATCTTTTCTCACCTTTTTCTGTACTATAAGGCCCAGACAGCTAAAAATCTGCATTTTCAAGACTCCCTTGCAGCTACACCTCTGAAAGTGACTTAGGTTCTGACAGTCATTTGTCATTAAAGAAAAATCATTTATTTGAATGTGAATTGAGATTGAGAGGGAAGCCATGGCTTCTAGGAATTCAATGTCAGCTGATGCAGTTCTAATGAAATAGTGCAGCAGTTTCCTGATCTTGGAATTTCATCTAAGACAACCGGGAAGTGGCTGTTTTCCAAT